>NC_000007.14:149306864-149458379 GCF_000001405.40 Homo sapiens | reverse complement strand
TGTGCCTATTGTGTTGCGTTAGGCAGTCACTTTCCCTGAGAGCCAGGCGCCTAGCCTCCAGGGCCCCCAGCGCTTCCTTCACAGGGAATGAAGAGTTCAGAGGTGGCTTAGCTGTTGATGAGCCTGCAGGTTTAGGGGTCTGTGAGCTCCTTGAAGATGTCTGCAAAATTCTGTGTATGTGCCCTTTTGTCTTTTTTGAGGACAAGAACCCAAAACTTTCATTAGGTTTTCAAAGAGGTCCCTGACCCCAACTTAAATGATAATATCTCTAAAGGCAAGGCCTTCCTCCCCACCTCTCCCAACCCTATCAAACCTGCCACAGGTCTTTGTGTATAAATAATATCCAGGCCTCGGGATTTTAGAGGTAAAAAGGATTCAGAGCACACACCTGCCTGGCCAGCTGCCTCAGTTGACAGTTAAGGCCTCAAGGTAGCCTGCAGGCTGTGGAACCAGACCACTGGGTGACCTGGGGCAAGTTGCTTAGTCTCTCCTGTCCCCAGTGTCTTCCTGTACTAAGTATGGATAGTAACTCTAGTAGTACCTGTTTCATAGATTTTGTGAGGATTAAATGAGATAATCCTTTAAAATGCTTAACACAGCTCATGGCACATAATAAATGCTGGATAATTGTTAGCCATTCTCAGCTGATTAGCGCTCATGTCTGGTTCGCGGCAGAGGCTATTAGACGATACTATCTCAAAAACCTTTTGTGAATAGGATCTTGAATATTCAATCCGTGGCTTAAAAGTGTGATGCTGTCACAGTTAAGTCACCTATAAATGAACCAATAAAAGAAAAAAGCTGTAGAAGATATGGAATTGCTTTAGATAAGTCTCTGATAGGTGACTAAAGGAACGTCATTGTTTATCCTAATAATTTTTTTGTAACTCAACAATTTACTCTTCAGCCGGCATTTATCAAACACATACTATATGTCAGACTGAACACTGGGGCTATGCCAATTTTCAACGGAAGAAAATTGAAATTTTAATTAAAGACCACTTGGATATAGAGCATAGTGACTGAGCAGATTGACTGAAGGAAGATGATGAGGGAGTGGACAGAAATTGTTACAGGAGAAATTGTGTTAGGTTCCAATAAAGATACTGATGATCTAGGTAAATACATAACTAGTTACTCACAGAAGATCGTGGCTTCGCCTCCCCAGTGATTCAGGAATTCTCTCGATGTGAGTATGGCAGGGTGAGGAACAAGGAGAGCGTGGGTCATTGAGATCCCAGAAGGACTCCAAGTCTTTATGTTGGTCTAGTCCCCCCAAATCTGGATACAAGTCACCAGTCCAGCTGACTTCTGCTCTACTTCCCCATCCTTCCAGGCCTCACTACTTCCTCATTCCCCATGTCGGAAACCCCAGGGTGGAACCCAGACCACCTGAGCACACCTGCTGCAATGGACTGCTGCCCACTCCTAGGAGTGGTTGAATTGCCTGCCTTCACCTGCCTCGATGTCTCGCTCTGCTTATAGCAGAAGCCAGGCCAGAATACCCAGAAGCCCGTTCAGCCTCTACAGCAGGGGCCGGGCACATAGAAGATGTTTCCAAGTCAAACATACATATACCATACTGACTCATTGATATGAGTCTGCAATGCAACTGTTATCAAAGAGTAAGAGTCTGGGAAACTTCAGATAATGTCATGTCCTCACTTTTGGACCAAGCGAAGGAAGGAACCCAGGGCACCACAAAGGCCTAATGCTGGTAGAAGTGGTGGTGGCTGGATGCCAAGTCCACCTTCCAGTTAAGAACATTAACAGTTCTGGCCCCTGCTGGTGAGCCCCCCACCCCTGCTGGGAGATGTGGGATAGTAAGTGCTTGGCTTTTACAAAATTCTGCTCTTTTGTTTCTCAAAGTTTTATGTTCAGTGCTTCAACAACTCAGGTAGTGTGTGTGTCAGATATTATTATCCTCGTTTTATGGATGAGGACACAGGACACTAAGAACAGAGAGGTCAAACGACCGATCCAGAGTGACACAGGTGGCAATAGGTGTAGACAGGGCCAAAAGCTCTAACAGGAGTCCAGCACCCTTCCGCTCTCCCACACTGCTGTTCGTAAGGTACCCGTGCAATGTATGTTGTGAAAAAGGAGATGGCTCTGTGAGAAACAAAAGGTAGCATAATCATCTTTCATTTGCGGTTCATAATAGTGGTATAATTGATGTCTAAATTGGTGCTGTGGTCTCTAGAAGAGATTCACATATGAGGGGCACATATTATTGCTACCAAACGGAAGCACTTTTTATGTGTATACTTGTCTTTGGGTTTTATTTTGCTAGCTGGAGACTGTGGCCTTTAATCCTCTTTTCCTTTCTTCCATGAACACAGGTTCAGCAGCTGGACATGGAGAACCAACGCTCATCACCTCTGTCGTTCCCCAGTGTTCCACAAGAAGAAACCTTACGTCAGGCCCCTGCTGGACTCCCCCGAGAAACTCTGTTCCAATCCCGCGTTCTTCCTCCCAAAGAAATTCCTTCTTTGTCTCCCACCATTCCCCGTCAAGGCTCCCTGCCCCAAACTTCCAGTGCTCCCAAGCAAGAGACTTCTGGCCGGATGCCACATGTGCTCCAGAAGGGACCCTCACTCCTGTGTTCTGCCGCTTCTGAGCAAGAGACTTCTCTCCAGGGCCCCCTGGCTTCCCAGGAAGGGACCCAGTATCCACCCCCAGCTGCTGCTGAACAAGAAGTCTCCCTTCTCTCCCACTCCCCCCACCACCAGGAAGCCCCCGTTCACTCCCCTGAAGCTCCTGAGAAAGACCCCCTGACCCTTTCCCCAACAGTTCCCGAGACTGACATGGACCCGCTGCTCCAGAGCCCGGTTTCCCAAAAGGACACCCCTTTCCAGATCTCTTCTGCAGTCCAGAAGGAACAGCCGCTCCCCACGGCAGAGATCACCCGCTTGGCTGTGTGGGCTGCCGTCCAAGCAGTGGAGAGGAAGCTGGAGGCCCAGGCCATGAGGCTACTGACCCTGGAAGGCAGGACGGGGACAAATGAAAAGAAGATAGCCGACTGCGAGAAGACAGCCGTGGAGTTCGCGAACCATCTGGAGAGCAAGTGGGTCGTGTTGGGGACCCTGCTGCAGGAGTATGGGCTGCTGCAGAGGCGGCTGGAGAACATGGAGAACCTGCTGAAAAACAGAAATTTCTGGATCCTGCGGCTGCCCCCCGGCAGCAATGGAGAAGTTCCCAAGGTAAGCACATCCCAACTGGGGCTTCCCAAGGAAGTGATCTGAATTGGAGTGTGGTTTAGGAATGTAGTGTAATATGAAAGAAAGGGGTGGTTGATAAAGGAAAAAATACAGTGATCCCAGTTGCTAGGACATGCCAAAATCAAATTATTTCTCCTGTTGATGAGAGTATAGGCTAGTACAGAAATGCCCCTGGGATCGGGGATTGTCAGTTTGGAAGGGTGTTCAGCAGAGCTGTCCATGGTGTGAGAGACTACGAAGGCAAAGCGAAGGCCGATGAGAGCCGTGGAGAGGCTTTACCATCAGTCACTGAGGGTGCATTAGCTTCACAATTGCAGCAGAGGAAGGAGCTTGGGTTAAACATCACAAGGATCTGTCCCACTCCACATTTTTATGAGTTCACTTATAAGCCATGTTAGTGCCAGGAAAACTGATTTCAAGATGTTTCCTTTCAAAAGCTAGAGAAGTTAGGTTTCCATATTATTTTCCAGAAGGTTCTGAAAGAGCTTGAGTGTGGACTGGCTTGCTTTCTCTTCTTCAGTGCTGCTGCCCCCTTTCACAGCCATATGTAGGGAGAAAACAGACTCTGTTCTCTAGCCCGGTATGTCTCAAATGTTACTGTGCACATGGATCTCCCCGGGATCTTACTGAATGCAGAAGCTATTTAGTAGGTCTAAGGTGGGGTCTGAGCAAGTTACCTGGTAGCACCATTGCTGCTGGTCCACAGACCATGCTTTAGAGCTGCAAGAATTATATCCTGAAGGGGAGGAAAAGGATCCGACAAGACAGGCCCCTCACTCTTTGGGGCCAGGACAGTGGCCAGACTTCTAGAAAAGTCCTAGGTGAAGGCCCAGAGCCAGGAGTTTGGGCCTTGGGATTGGCCAGCCGTGGGCCTGTCACTGCCTTCCAGCGGGTCTGAGCCGAGTTATTGTGTGGTTTCAGGTCCCTGTCACATTTGATGATGTTGCTGTGCACTTCTCGGAGCAGGAGTGGGGAAACCTGTCTGAGTGGCAGAAGGAGCTCTACAAGAACGTGATGAGGGGCAACTACGAGTCCCTGGTTTCCATGGGTAAGGAGAAGCCTTCGCTCGCTGGGGGCTGCCTGGACGCCAGCTCAAAGTGCATTCATAAACTTAGGGAGTTCTGAACCCCAGCAGAGCCAATAGTTGCAAGCAAGGAGAACAGAGTTGTAGAGATCACAACAAATTAAAGCAAACGCCCTCATATACCCACACACATCAGTGCGGCCCAGGCCAGAATGGCTTGTAAATTGAGACCCCACTCTCAGAGAAGCTGCTGGGGCAAGGAGGAGGAGAAAGACCTAGACATCAGTGGTCTCTCCGTCATCATATTTTTCCCCATGGGGACCCCTTTTTAAATAAATTAGTTTGTCCAGCAAACTATTATTAAGGAAGGAAAAAAGAATGAAAGGAAAGTGTGCTGAGTGTCTCCTGTGTACCAGCCACATTTGAGGTGCTGTACAAGTATCATCTCCTTGGACCTGCACAGCCAAGATGTTGCGGAGGCTAAGACAGGTGTTCACACTCCTGTTCGATGATTCAGGTGCCTGAACACTGAGGCTGTGATCAGGGAGGTTAAATGCTTATTTCATGGAGATCTGCCTTACCCCGAAGTCTGTAGATTCTTGTGATTTTAATTAAGAATATTTAACGATGAAAACCTGGAAAAATATACTTTACTTACATATATATATGTGTGTGTGTATATATATCTGTTTCTCTGATATGGAGAACTTTTTGGGTATATACAAAAAAACGTTATCTTAAACATTTAAATGTGTTGTCACATAGAAACTTTGATTCCAGCTAGAATTGATAATTTTATACATACCTTTCCATAGGATACATTCCCTTCCTTTTAAAATTCTTTTTTCTTTTTTTAATTGTGTTTTTTAATTGTGAAAATTCAACAATTTAAATGATTTATATAATTAAGAGCAACCACCACCCATTCACCAGTACCACTCCCCAGAGGTAACCACCATGAACACTTTGGCCTGTGTTCTCTCTCATCTTTTTTTGCATGTGCAGATATAAGCATGATACATGCACTGAGGCACATGCAGTTTGGGGTTTGCACAGAGGGGCCCGTTTACTTATTTTACCTAATGTAGGGGGATAGAGAGTGTTCCATGTCAGCACACGTAGGACTCCTTGGAAAGACAGTGCAGTGTTCCACGTGAACCATTAGGGCTTTTGACCTGTCTGCTGTTGCTGAAGAGTAGGTTGACTGTTACAAAGTGTTATGATAAACATTTCTGTGTATTTGTGCACTTCTGTGTGTTACAGTAGGACAGATACTAAGAAGTGGGATTGCCAAGTAAACAGGATGCACATTTATAGTTTTATGGCTACTGCCTGGTGCCCTCCAGAAGGCTGAGCCAGTTGATATTTCTGCAAGGGTGTGTGAAAATGCCACTTCATACCCTGGCCTGAGCTGATGTTCTTCTATTTTAAATATTAGCCTTTTTTATAGGTGAAAAATGATACCTTATTTATTTATTTATTTACTTTTTTTTTTTTTTTTTGAGACAGAGTCTCGCTCTGTTGCCCAGGCTGGAGTGCAGTGGCACGATCTGGGCTCACTGCAAGCTCCGCCTCCCAGGTTCATGCCATTCTCCTACCTCAGCCTCCCGAGTAGCTGGGACTACAGGCACCTTCCACTGCTCCTGGCTAATTTTTTTTTGTATTTTTAGTAGAGACAGGGTTTTACCGTGTCAGCCAGGATGGTCTTGATTTCCTGACCTTGTGATCCAGCCACCTCGGCCTCCCAAAGTGCTGGGATTACAGGCGTGAGCCACACGCCCAGCCTACTTCATTTATTTAAATATGTATTCTTTGATGATTAGTGAACTTGTGCATCTTTTTTTGTTTGTTTGTTTGTTTGTTTGTTTTTGAGACGGAGTCTCGCTCTGTTGCCCAGGCTAGAGTGCAGTGGCGCGATCTCGGCTCACTGCACGCTCCGCCTCCCGGGTTCACACTATTCTCCTGCCTCAGCCTCCCGAGTAGCTGGGACTACAGGTGCCCACCACCGTGCCCAGCTAATTTTTTGTATTTTTAGTAGAGACGGGGTTTCACCATGTTAGCCAGGATGGTCTCGATCTCCTGACCTTGTGATCCGCCCGCCTCGGCCTCCCAAAGTGCTGGGATTACAGGCGTGAGCCACTGTGCCCAGTGAACTTGTGCATCTTTTTATATATTTATTGGCCATTCATATTTCTTCTATGAATTACCTATTTATAGCTTTGCAATTTTACTAGTTATAGAAGTTCTTTATGTATAACTATGGATATTAACCCTTTGCCATATGTCAAACATGTATATATATGTATAATATTTCCTCCAAGTTTCTTCATCTTTTAACTTTATTTCCAAAGAACTGCAGACTTATTTTATGTAAGAAAATCTATCGATATTTTATGGCTTTTAGATTTTTATCAGGATTAGTTTTTTGTTTTTTTCTTTTTTTGAGACGGAGTTTCACTCTTGTTGCCCAGGCTGGAGTGCAGTGTGTGATCTTGGCTCACTGCAACCTCTGCCTCCCAGGTTCAAGTGATTCTCCTGCCTCAGCCTCCCGAGTAGCTGGGATTACAGGCATCCGCCACCACGCCTGGCTAATTTTTTGCATTTTTAGTAGAGATGGGGTTTCACCATGTTGACCAGGCTGGTCCCGAACTCCTGACCTCAGGTGATGCGTCTGCCTCAGCCTCCCAATGTGCTGGGATTACAGGTGTGAGCCACTGCACCCGGCCAGGATTAGTTTTTTACCTTACAAAATTTCAAATATCTTCTGCCTTTATCATGAAAACCTGGGCAGGTTTTGACTACCTCTGAGCAACACGATCCCTCTACCCCCCGCCACACACACACACCCACACCCCCACACCCACAGTGGGCTCTTGGGAAAAGAAGGGGAGACTTGGCGGTTTTCCATTGTGGTCTCCAGTCGAGGAGCTGCTCCTGGAATCACGTGCCCACAGATGATACCTTAACAACATCCAGTGCAACCTCATCCCAGAGCATATTTTTTTCCCTTTCTTCTGCCTAGACTATGCAATTTCCAAACCAGACCTCATGTCACAGATGGAGCGCGGGGAGCGGCCCACCATGCAGGAGCAGGAAGACTCTGAGGAGGGCGAAACGCCGACAGATCCCAGTGCTGGTGAGTGGCTAAGGGTGATCTGCAGCTCTGCATTCTAGATCTTTCAGTACTCAGGAAGCGCCAGCATGAGGCAGCACAATCCAAGGTAGGCCCTGCCAGGATATGTTAGCAGGAAGGAGGCCCGCAGGTGCCAGGACCTGCTTTGGAGTGCCATGATCACCAGTGGCCCAACTTGTTGATTAATGGGAATGCCGTTGGGTTCACTGTCTCAGGAATTTTTTGACATGACCAAGTGTCACCTCACTCTCTGTAGGAAATAAAGCAAGAAACTCAAAGAAAGGCAGTCCCTTGTCAAGCAGTCATTAGTGCTTAAAATTCCTGGAACTTCCGAGAAAAGGGCCACATCCCTGAGTCCTGCAGGTGGTCAGTGGAGGGATAAGGGGCAGGCATGGAGTTTACCAGAAACATCCTACATGCACAGCTTCAGCAGGACAGCATGTAGGTGGAGTCAGCAGATATGCACCCAGCGAGACTGACCAGAGGCCGTGTGGCTCATGTGCACACTCTGGTGTGAGGCTGACTGTATCTGAGTATAGTTTTTCTGCTTACTGGGGGTGGGATTTCAGTTGCTTGATCTTTTCAGAGTCTCAGTTTCCTCATCTATAAAATAGAACTGGCACTAATATCTAACCGTAGGGCCTGGCACAGTGATTGGCACATAGCAGTGGCTCAGTATACACCAGCCGCTGTTGGTGTGCCTGGAGGTCGCCCCATTCACAGCAGCTGGGTCAGTGGCTCACACACTCACACTGCAGGCGCTCTTGTGGTGCATGGTTGCTCTCTGAAGCCCCTGCTTTGGAACTGCCTTTGGACTTGCATCACTTATCTTGATGGTCATCAGCAGAAGCTGATCCTTGTCCTTCGTGGGCAGGTGTGGCGTGTGAACATAGCTGAGAGTTACTGGCGATCATGTCTGCTGAAAGAGGATGATCCACCTGGAGAACTCTGTTTGGGGCCAACAGCCAGGTCTTGTTAGGAACTAATGTCGTTGATTTGGGGACCTATCAACTGGCTCCAAGCAGATGTTCTAGGAACATGGGAGTAATGTTGGCCCCATGTACTGAGTGGGAAGGTGACTTCTGGGAGAGACAGAACCCTGTAAAAATACAAGTGCTGGCATGTCCCAGAGAAATCCAGTGGTGTCACTTTCTATGGATTTGCCTAAAATTTAACTCGAGGAGAGGGGCTAATCCTGAGTTCCTTCCTGCAGACAGAAAAGAGGAATTTAAAAATTGATGAGGATGAGGGATTGGTGACAGTGTGGCACATGGCAGGGTGAACTTTTGGTTGAGGAAAATCAGTCTGAACCTTAAAGGTTTGAGTGGCCACATCCAAAAGCAAAGGTCAAGTAGAAATAGAGAGATTCTAGGTGGAAGAAATGAGAAAGAAGTGTTGCGAGGCAGAGAATGAGAAGTCAGGAGAGATGATTTGTGGTTAAAATCCTAAAATACAATCTGCTGTCCCAACGGGGCCTTGCGGTTCAGGTGCTGCTCTCATAGAATTTTCTTGGAAGGGCTGGATGCAAGAGCATGGATCCCCTTTCTCTGTCTGCTTTTCCCTGCCTCATCACAGATGGCCTCCCACAGAATGGGGCCAGAATTGAAAAGCAAATAACCCAAATCCATTCGGTCCTGGGCTGGGTTTGTTCTGACACATGCACATCCACAGGAGCTTCTGCTGGAAGAAGCGGCCTCACAGAGGCCTCCTTGTGTGGCTGAAATGTGTCATTTGTTCCAGTCACCATCTCCAGGCCCTGGGAGTCTGCAGTGGGAGGAAAGGGGAGGACATAGGTACCGCTGCCCCTCAGAGTGGGCCGCACACTCGCACCTCTGTGCTAAACCAAAGGCCCCGGCCTCGCCATTGCAGGCTGGTTCTGCAAAACTGCAGGTATCAGAGCCGTAGCACTCCAGTGGTAACCTGTCCATCCAAGCGCCTTCTCCTTTTGCAGAATGGCAGCAAATCCAGCCATGGGCCAGACCAAAAGTATGAGACAAAGGGGTAAAAGTCCAGAAAATTGAGACTTCTCATAATTCCAAATATACCAAACATGACAATTTTATGAATTGGCTAAGTAAATTCATTCAATAAACTATCATTTAATGGTTGGCTTCCCAAGGGCAAAGAGATGTAAAGATGATTCAGATGTCAACCCTCCAAATACTCAGAACAGGGGCTCCCATTCATTCACGGCCTTGAAAGGGTGGCCATGGAGGCCAGAGAAGCCAGGCACCATCTTCACCTAGCAAGTTGGCAAAGAGTAAAGCGAACCAGAAGGCATGGCTGAAATCTGTGTGCTCAGACATTGCCACTCAGAGGGTTCATCATTTCAGTCTCTCGAGAAAGCAATTTGATGCTTTCTAGTCTTAAAATATATATGTATTCTTTACTATATATATATATATATATATATATATATATAGTTATATGTATAACTATATAACTATATGTATAACTATATATATAACTATATGTATAACTATATATAGTTATATATATATATATATATATATATAGTTTTGTTTTGTTTTTGAGATGGAGCCTCACTTTGTTGCCCAGGCTGGAGTGCAGTGGCGTGATCTCTGCTCACTGCAACCTCCCACCTCCTGGTTCAAGCAATTCTCTTGCCTCAGCCTCCTGAGTAGCTGGGATTACAGGTGTGTGCCACCACGCCCAGCTAATTTTTTTACTTTTCTTTAGTAGAGATGACGTTTCACCATGTTGGTCAGGCTGCTCATGAACTCCTAATCTTAAGTGATCCACCTGCCTCAGCCTCCCAAAGTGTTGGGATTAAAGGCATGAACCACTGCACCTGGCTTATTTTTAAGTATATTTTAAATATTTTAAATGTTCTTACATTTGACCTAATAATTTACTTCCTGAGAGTCTAGCAGGAAAAAGAATCCAAAATATAGATTAAGATGTACAAATATAAATCACAGTATGATAGACTGTTACACACTAAAATCACATTTATGAAGAGTTTTGAAACCATAAGTTTCACTCATATGTTTATTTAGTTCATCAGATCTCTTTGGTAGCAGGTACTGTGTCAAGAACTATATTAACCCTGAGGCCCTTGCCCTCAGACTTAACTCCTGTGGAGCGACTGACATTAACAACCAAAACACCCCCCACAGATGAAAGCACGGGCACCAGCTGTGACAAAGCTGAGACGCAGAGCATCCAGGGCTGCGAGACACACGACAGGGAAGGTGCCCTTGAGTTTGGGAAGTCAGAAAGGCCTCTTGGAGGATGTGGAATTTCTAGTGGAAACCTGAAGACTAAGTAGGGCTCTGGTTGCTCCGTAGAGAACTCACTGCAGGGGGGATGGTCTGGAAGCTAGGAGACTACTTGCAGGTTCTTTCCGTCTTCCAGGTAGGAAACCTTGGCATCGCCCTGAGAGAGAAGTGGCTGTTGTCAAGATATATTCTGGCAGTGGACTAGGAAGGCCTTAGGGATTGGTGGGTGTTGAATAGGAGGGCTGGGGAGGTGCTAAGGGTGGCCCCCAGGCCTCTGGCTTAAGTAAGAGTAGAGGGAGGGTAATGTAAGGTTCAGATTTGGAGAAACACTGAGAATTCCGTTTTGAACACATTAGGTTTGAGATCCCTGTGAGACATCAAAGAGCAGGTGTTGAGAAAGCAGCTGAATAAAGGAGTCTGGAGTTCAGAACCGAGGTCTGAGCTAGAGACATCTGGCCTTGGCACATTTGGACATTTGGGTGTCGGCAGCAGAGTTAGATTAGGTTGCTCAGTCTGTAGAGGGGGAAGAGAGGAGAACACAAGCCATGCCCTGCAGAACCCTGGCTTTTGGGGCAGATTCGGGGATTTGGAATATGTTGTTCATGATGGGGCCCGGATGTTAGTATTTTTTAGCTTCCAAGGTGATTTTCATCTGCAGCCAGGGTGGAAAACCACTGTTGTGGAAAAAGAAGGAGCCAGAGGAATCACGGGAAACAGAAAGAGTGGCCAGAAAGGTAGCAGGAGAATTAGGATACTGCCTTGTTGGGTATTTCTAGAGAAGGATGCTTCCAGAAGGAGAGAGTATGCCCAACCGTGTCGTATTCTGCTGTGTGGTTTAGGAACAGGAAGACTAAAAAGGGTCCATTGGATTGCAAGCTAAAAGTCATCAGTGACCTTAGGAAGACAAACGTTGGTACCTTAGTGGAGGTGGCAGCCTGATAGTCAGTGGGTGAGGAGCAGGTGGGAGGCGAGGAAGTAGAGATGGCAGGTGCTGACAGTCATTTCAAGAAGTGTAGCTGTGGGGGAGTGGAAATATGGGACAGTTGGGGGGATTCTTGTTTGCCTAAGATGGGGATTGCTAAAGCTTGTTTGAAATGTTGATGGGAATGATCCAGTTGATAGGAGGATTAAGGATGTAGAAGTGGGAAATGTAACTATAGTGAGGTCAGTGATGTAAGCAAAAGTAGATTAAAAAAAAACTGGATGGAAACATACCAAAGCCATATTTCTCTATGTTTTTTAAAATGTTCTGATGTGAGCATGTATTACTCCTTATTCAGTAAAAATATATTTTTTAAAACAGTACACAATGAAAGATTGAGTTGAGCAGGGCAGATTGAACATGTATTTATTCCCACCTTCCCAAATCCTTCCTTTTTTTTTTGAGATGGAGTTTCGCTCTTGTTGCCAGGCCGGAGTGCAATGGCGCGATCTTGGCTCACTGCAACCTCCGCCTCCAGGATACAAGTGATTTTCCCGCCTCGGCCTCCCCAGTAGCTGGGATTTCAGGCATGTGCCACCACACCTGGCTAATTTTGTATTTTAGTAGAGATGGGGTTTATCCATGTTGGTCAGGCTGGTCTTGAACTCCCAACCTCAGGTAATCTGCCCGCCTCGGACTCCCAAAGTGCTTGGATTACAGGCCACCACATCCGGCCTCCCAAATCCTTCTAAAACAAGAGTGAAGAAACTTTTAAAAAGAAAGGAGAAACAGCAACGAAGTTTTTCAGCCCTGAAGCAGGTGGATAGATGTGGTGAGCTGAATCTGAAATTGGTACTGGGGAAAACTGAGAAGAAACCCAATTTGCACCCCCACACCTGCTTGGGGCTCAAGAGTTAATAGTACCAGAGACTCTAGGGATCCCTGGAAATAGGAATGAAGTGAGGCTAAACACAGACAGCTGGCTGAACATCTTTTAAAGAGACCGCTTAAAGCTCCCCTCAGCTCCCATTGCCTCCCTCAGTCCCTACTGCAGGCATCTGCCTTTCCCTAGCCCTGATATGTGACAGGCTTATTCTCTGGGGAGGGTGCAAAGGAGGCTCTCTGGACATGGGCACCAGGCACAGTTGAGGGTGGGGCACCATATTGAAAACGGGAAGAAGGAGACTTGACGTGCAGATGTTGAGACCTCCAGCCTTCTTCCCTAACTCGACTCCCGAAATGTTGCCAACACCCAGAATTAAACCCACTGGGCAGGATATTTGAAGAGGCTTATCTGGAGACTTTTGGGACCAGCCCAAGAGGTTTCTGGGTAAAATGACTTGGCCAAAGCACCCTATGGGCCAAACAGAGTCCCATAGTTAGCAGGCCTCACCCAAATGCACTGAGCTCCCTGTTCTCTTGAGTGTCCCCTTTTAAGTCTCCGGGGACAACCAAGAATGAGAAGACATTTGGGAAAACTCTGTGGTGTACAGAGACAAGTAAAGAAATCAGAAAAAATACATTTAGAGGAACAGAGACCATGCAGAGAGGGAAAAATGTATATATGAATACTCACATGTAAAATCCTTAAATCAAATAAGTGAATGCATTCATGACACAAAAGTGTAATGCTTGTTTTTTAAAAAAGGAATAGAAAGGAACTCTTGGAAATAAAAAATGTAATAGTACAAATTAGAGACTCAGGAGCAGTGTTGGAGGATAAGCACACATCCCAGAAAATAAAGCTAAAAGAAAAGAAAATAGGGAAAAAAATAAAAATAAAGGATGGAAGGGAATAGGGAAAGAATAAGAAAACTGAAGGATGGAAGTCCAACATCCAGATAATAGGAATATCCAGAAAAAGAGTAGCAGAAACAGGTGGGAATTATCAACAAAATAATTCAAGAAAAGGTCCCGCCAATTAAAGCCGTAATTTTCTAGATTGAAAGAGCCAGCTGCCCAGAGCACTGGAAGAAAATAGACCTACACTTTCAGCACGGAATTTCAGAGCAACTGAGAACAAAGGAAATCCTACGAGCTTCCAGGGAAGAGAAACAGAGTCATGCGAAGAAATGAGAATTAGAATGGCCTCAGACATTTGTAACCACATTGGGAGCTAGAAGACAGTAGAGTAGTGCCTTTCAAATTCCAAAGGAAAATATTTTCCAACTTATAATTCAATGTCTAGCCAGACTATTTCGATTAAATATGAGTGAAACTGAGTCATTTTGAGATATTCAAGTCTCCACAAATCCTTTATCAAACTGGGGCAGGCGCTTTGCCAAAATGAGGAAGTAAACCAAGAAGGAGGCATTACAAACCCCAACTTGAGAGAGAGGTGGAGGCACTCCAGGCACACGGCCCAGGGGCATTCCGAGAGGTCAGCTGTGCACCTAGAGGCAGCCAGTCGAGTGGGGCACCTCCGCAGGTCCCAGAAATTTGTCTTCAAGTAGATGAAATGGATAAATACCCAATATATTTGAATGTTTGGAAAGGAGAGTTACACAGCAAGGTAAGGTTGGGGGAGTTTGGGGCTAAGTTCATGATAATTAGTCGTAAGCTGGGCAAAAGAAATAAGTGTCAGATCTAGGGAAAGCAAGAAGGTTTACAGGCGTAGGAGGCACTCACTGAATACTACAGAGTTTAGTTATAAATAACATTGATATAATCTAGCGAGGTAAACACCCAGTATTGATCCAACTAAAATTACAACAAAACTGTATTGGCAGGATCAGTTCGGAGGAGATGGTTCTGACCGTCATCCCTTGGAAGTCAATGGATGATGCTTAAAATTGAAAACTCAAGGAGTAGCAATATAAGTGTGTTACTTAGAGTTATGGAGGTAAATGACCAAAGAGTCAGCTGGAATCATTGAAGTGATTGCTTCGGGGAGCAGGAAATGGGGGCAGAGGAGTGGAAAAGAACTTTTTAAAAAATAAGTTTTGGGCCGGGTGTGGTGGCTCGCGCCTCTAATCCCAACAGTTTGGGAGGCCGAGGCAGGTGGATCACTTGAGGTCAGGAGTTTGAGATTAGCCTGGGCAACATGGTAAAACCCCATCTCTACTAAAAGTACACAAAATATGTATATATAGCTGGGTGTGGTGGCCCATGCCTGTAATCCCGGCTACTCAGGAGGCTAAGGCAGGAGAATCACTTGAATCCAAGGGGTGGAAGATGCAGCCCCGTCTCAAAAAAAAGAAGTTTTGAAGAACTGTTCAACTATGTTCCACTAGCCTATGTGCATGTATAACTTTAAAAAAAATTTTTTTTAATTAAAAAAACCTAACAGTATAGCCATGCGAAGATTGGAAAGTCAGTGTCAACCAATATTTATTTACTTTGAGCTGGTAGAGAGAGTTAATGTGGCAATACTGGTTTTTAATTTCACAAAGAAAAAGTACAGAGAGAGTGAAAGTCCCCCATAGTTTTCTCTCAAGAGTCAGCAGTTTATTCATTCCAATTTTATGTGCATGTGATTACATACACATGGCCTTAATTATATAAGTAATACATATACACATTATCATTGTAAAAAAATCAGACAATATAGAAGTATTGGCAAGTTTCTTTTTTCAATACTATATCATTGACATTTTTACGTCAGAATATATAAATTTGTCGTGTTCTTTTTCATAGCTGACAGTAGTATTCTGTGTATTGATTTCATAATTTATTTAAATACTCTGCCATTGATGTGCATTTAGGGTGTTCACAAGTTTCAGCGCCTCAGTAAAGATTATTATAAATAGATCTTCATGCACTTGTCTGGAATTTATTTAGAAATGGATTTTCTGGGTCAAAGGATACACCCACTTAAAAATTTAATAGATCCTGGCAAATCCCTTCAAATCACTTGTGCCAATTTACATGCCTTCACCCTTCTAAGCATGAGAATGTTTGTTTCTACACACTCTTACCAGTAATAGGTATTATTTATCTTTTTATCATTTGCCAAAGTAATAAGTAGAAAAAACACAATATTTGGATGTTTTTATTTGACTTTCCATAAGGGTGATGTTGAGCATATTTTCATACCTTTATTGATTACTAGTATGTCTTACTACTCTGTGAATAATCTTTGTTGTTATTCTTTTGGATTACTCGTCTTTTTATTATTGATTTGTAAAAAGCTTTTAAAATATTAAGGATATTAGCTCTTGTCTAACAGTATGTATGTGAATACTTTTCCTAGTTTGTGGTTTACTTTTTTTTTTTTTTTAGACAGAGTCTCACTCTGTTGCCCAGGCTGGAGTGCAGTGGCGCTATCTCAGCTCACTGCAACCTCCACCTCCTGGGTTCAGGCTATTCTCCTGCCTCAGCCTCCTGAGTAGCTGGGGTTACAGGTGCCCACCACCATGCATGGCTAATTTTTTTGTATTTTTAGTAGAGACGGAGTTTCACCATTTTGGCCAGGCTGGTTTCAAACTCCTGACCTCTGGTGATCCACCTACCTTGGCCTCCCAAAGTGCTAGGATTACAGGCGTGAGCCACCACGCCTGGCCTGTGGTTTACTTTTATATTTTGTGTGTGTGTCTGTGTGTGTGTGTGTGTGTGTGTGTGTGTAATAGCAGTTTTTAACTTTTATGTATTCAAATTTATCACTTTTTTTTTTTTTTTTTTTGAGACAGAGTCTCACTCTGTCGCCCAAGCTGGAGTGCAGTGGCGCAATCTCGGCTCACTGCAACCTCCGCCTCCCGGGTTCAAGCGATTCTCCTGCCTTAGCCTCCCGAGTAGCTGGGATCACAGGCCCCTGCCACCAGGCCCAGCTAATTTTTGTATTTTTTAGTAGAGACGAAGTTTCACCACGATGGCCAGGCTGGTCTCGAACTCCTGACGTCAGGAGTTTGTCCTGACGTTACCCGCCTCAGCCTCCCAATCTGGGTTTCGTATCAAGTGTAGAAATATTTACTCAAGCTATTTTATTTAGTAAACACTATGATCACAGATCTTAGGTCTGTGAGCATCTCAAAAAAAACCTATAAAAATATTTGAAACACAAAATAAAATATTTTTTGCCCTAGAAAACAAAAAGAAAATTGCTAAGTCTAAGTAATTAAATGCTTATTTTAACTAAATGTCTAAAAATATAGCATTATATCACTTTCAGTAACTAATAAATTCAGTCTTCACAAAGGTTTAATACATTTGAAAACAACTTATAGGATTTCCCCCACCCCACAGGAGTTCTTATGAACACGAATTATTACAAAGATTAAAAACCAATCACAGATTAAATAAGTTTCTTATAGCCAAATGATGGCAACAGCAAGCTACAAGAATCCTTTCAAAACAATTTATAGCAAAATTTATAGTTGATAAGAGTTGGGCACATTTAATATGTTTGGCACGAATAACCGAACATCCTCCAGAAGGAATATCTGAAGTGCCATAGGGTTACAGATAGCCTGTTCCTCAGCTTAAAGTTGTAAAACTTAGGTATGAATTTCTTATTTATACATAAATTTTTTTGTTCATCAGGAGTTTGATGTGAAATATGTGAAGTAGCTTTTTTCCCTTTCTAATCAGGAAGCCAGTTGTCTCCATTCCTTTTAAACTCTTCCCCACTGGATTGAAATGTTACCTTTTTCATAAACTATATTCCCACAATGTATGTGTCTTCGATTAATTTTTTAAATGGGAGAACAAATTCCTGCTTATAAATGAATGCAGCTTGGTTGTCAATACTCTTTGAAAAGTTGTTCGGGGTGGGGAGACATTTTTGGTGGGAAACGCTGGCGTTCCCTGCTGTTTAGCAAGTGGAGGGGAGGTGAAAGTGTGTACATACTGCCTGTTTTGAGGGAGGAAGAGTAGAGTATGTGCCACAAAGAGGAGCAGGCGAATGCCTAGAGCTCAGGGAGGAGCACAGCTACGTCCAGCTGAGAGCACTGAAGAGGCTTGATGGAGTGGTGGACACCCGAGTTGGGTCTTGAAGTAGGGCCAGGTATTGAAGGCACTCGTCTTCAAGCTGAGGTACCCATGCTCTTGAGGGGACAAGGGTACTCCCCAAGAGGGACATAATACAGGTGGCTTTGAGGGCACAATTTCCAGTCCTTAGTCCATCTCTTCTTGTCCAACTGATCAGCCAAAAGCACACAATGCATGTGGTCCCTGAAATGTGGCTTCTCATCTACATCTCCCATTATTTAAAAAAAAAAAAAAAAAAACAAAAAAACAACAGGCTGCTGGGCATGGTGGCTCATGCCTGTAATCGTAGCTCTGTGGGAGGCCGAGATGGGAAGATCACTTGAGTCCAGGTGTTTGAGACCAACCTGGGCAACATAGGGAGACCTCGTCTCTACAAAAACTTTAAAAATTAGCTGGGCATGGTAGCACTTGCCTGTAGACCCAGCTACTCTAGAGGCTGAGGTGGCAGGTGGTTTGAGCCAGGAGGTTGAGGCTGCAGTGAGCCATGATCTCACCACTGTACTCCAGCCTACGCAACAGAGCAAGGCCTCATCTCTTAAAAAACAAAACAAAACAGTCACTTCCTGCCCATCTCCATCTTACTATAAAGCATTTCTCAGAGGCATAAAGCCCCCAGGTCACCAAACAGAAAACATTCAGAATTTTAAGATACATGTCCTGCAGCGTGTCACTCTGGGGCCTGGATGGCAAGTTCTCTTGCAGCTTAGGTTGTTAGCAATATTTTACCTTTAACAAAATTGAAAGAACCTAATCATGTTGTGAGCTAATAGGTCATTAGAAACAGTTTTTGATGATCATGTTGACCATGTGATCTTCGTGGCATATAATTCAGAAGTTCAGAATTGAGTGACAGTTCCATAACAAAGCTTCTTCCAGCCCATCTACATATTTATGTAAATGAGGTTTCCCAATGTAAATGAGGTTTCATATATAAAAATGAAAAAGACTAAAATTGATTCTGAACTGTACATTCTACAATAAGAATATTGATTTCTAGATAAGTAAACTAATTAGAAAAAATTTCTATTCATCCTTATAAGAGATACATTTCCCAAAGTTTCTTTATTTTCTATCTTGGATAATTATTTATCATTCTATAGTGATAATCACTAAGGATAACTTAAGCCAGAAAAAAAATGAACACTTAGAGACCTGTGGTTATTAGAAATGAAAGCAAAATTAAACTTTCAACTTACATACACATTTTTGTGGCAGAGTGGCAGAGGAAGTGATCAGTAAAAGGCTTCTAAACATACAAATATGTTCTATTAGGATAAAATTCTGTGGGCAAAGTGGGAATAGAAATAGAAGTTCAAGGTGAAAAGGAATGATATAAAAATTCCAGCTATCAAAGAAGAATTTGTTCATGTATTTTTAAGTGAATAATGGTGGGTTTAAAATTGCCGGGGTTCTTAGATTCCATTGGTGACATTAAAGGGTGATGGAAGAGTTTATTTCAAAGTATCAATATTTACAATACTCCAGAAATTACATCTTTTGCAGTTACTGATGCATTTTATATGTTTATTCAAAAAGGTGCAAAGGAGTACATAGTTTTAAAAATCATTTTAAGGTGTAAGCAAGCAAAATATTTTAAGTAGTTTGTGAAGTCAGGGAAGTTTTCCTGATGCTAGAGTCGTGGTCATGTTTGTGGAGGGATCATAACAATTTAGCGCAGAGACAAGGATTGAAGACAGATGGGAAAAGGCACACAACTAATGGAGCAAAACTCCAGGGAGAAAGAAATGGGCAGGGCTAAGGAAACAAGCAGAGGAGTTCAGTGACAGGAGGAGGGAAGAGAGACATTACTTTCCCTGAGATTGGAGAGAAAAGGGAGGTAAAGATGGTGACTTTGAGCCAGTGTAGGAAGTAGGGGATGGAGGTATGGATGACTTTTTCTTTTCCTTTTAATAGAGAATAGGACACAGACATCTTTGGAGAGAGTGGGAGAGTTCCACAGTTCTGAGGGAATCAAAGGTCTTCATTTAAGGCTGTGGCGGGGGGGTAAATGAGAACATTAGAGCTGCTTTATATTCCATCCACTTCCAAACCAGTTGAGTTGGTGAATCAGAGAGGCATTAAAGGAGTGCCGCGCATCCGAAGGAATCCAGCTTAGGTCATCTAGCACCCATTTTCAGCCTGATGAGTTTGTCTGATTTCTTAGTAAGGGAATGAATGGATTTGGCAGAGGAGCATGAAGAGCCTCAGGAGGGCAGGACTGAGGCTGCTTGGTTCATTTATCTCCTGGCTTCTTTTCTCTTTTTCTCACAGCACTTGTCACCTTCTAACATACAAAGTAATTTATTTATTGTGTCTACCACCTTATGTAAGGTCTATGTTTTTTTCACTGGATATATCAAAAGCCGTTAGACCACATGACATGTAGTTGGTGCTCAGTGTCTGCTAGTAAACATTCGATGAATGAATGAATATGTGTGTACATGACATATTCTATTGTCATTGCAGTAAACATTTGTTCACCATAGCAAAACTCTGGGAACAAAACGTGAATGTTCTTCTGTTAGGGAAAGAATGAATAAGCCACGGTATTATCCTGACCATGGAATATATACAGCATTTTTAACAGTGTATTAGCACTGTAGAAATTGATTTGAAGCCAGGTGTGGTGGCTCATGCCTGTAATTCCAGCACTTTGGGAGGCTGAGGTGGGCAGATCACTTGAGGCCAGGAGTTCGAGACCAGCCTGGCCAACATAGTGAAACCCCATCGCTACTAAAAATACAAAAAATTCACGCCTGTAATCCCAGCACTTTGGGAGGCTGAGGCGGGCGGATCACGAGGTCAGGAGATCAAGACCAGCCTGGCTAACACGGTGAAACCCCGTCTCTACTAAAAATACAAAAAATTAGCCGGGTGTGGTGGCGGGTGCCTGTAATCCCAGCTGCTCGGGAGGCTGAGGCAGGAGAATCGCTTGAAGTTGGGAGGCGGAGCTTGCAGTGAACCGAGACCACACCATTGCACTCCAGCCTGGGCAACAGAGCGAGACTCCGTCTAAAAAAAAAAGAAATTGGTTTGAAGGGATTTCTACAAGATATTTGAGTAGAGGAACACAGAAGAGGCCAATAGTGACAAAAAAAAAAAAAAAAGAAAAAGAAACAAACATATAAATGTGTATGTGTTGTTTAGAATAACAACATAAGCACAGAGAAAAGTCCTGGTAAATTATAGGAGTTACCTGGGAAGTCATAGCGGTGAAATGGGAAGTAAGGGAAGGGGAAGGCAGATTAGATGGAAAAAAATACTGCACTAAAAACCAAAAATGTTATAATCCCATTTATGTAAAATGACACCTATGTATGTAATGATACATTTGAAATTAATCTACAGACCTATAGGCAAGTTTAGAAACAAATTTCAGGGCAGTGCGTAACAGGATGCTATTTAACTAAAAACAAACCCAAATGCCCATGGTGTACATGCATACGTGCTTGGGAATGTGAGTGTTTTTTGGACACCTCAGGGTATGGGGCCGAAGGGTGGGAGTGGTCAGGAGGTAGCCTTTTCTTCATCGACCTGATTGTGAGTGAGCAGATGAGAGAGAAACTGTGTTAACTGTACCGGTTGGCTGGTCTGACTGAGAAAGGGAATGAGCATCTCTTTAAAATAAACCCTGGCTGGGCGCAGTGACTCATTCATGCCTGTCATCCCAGCACTTTGGGAGGCTGAGATGGGAGGATCATGTAAGCCCAGGAGTTCAAGGCTGCAGTGAGCTATGATCACACCACAGCACTCGAGCCTGGGTGACAGAGTGAGACCTTTCTCTATTGAAAAAATAAGAGTAAAAATAAACCCTGACAATGCTGAATATTTTTTTTTAATTATGGAGCTCATGGAAAACAAACTTTGCATCTATTTTAACTTGACTACAGTTTGTATTGGTATTCAAAGCTACAAGGTGTCCAGAAAATTCTGTGTCTACTCATTTCCAACTCAATATTACATTTCTTCAGGGTCTCTAAGATAAGACTTATTGAGATGTAAATTGTAGGGCTGCAGAAACCTGGGCAGTTGGCATGAACATTCTGGGTTCTTTTCTCCTCCTCACCCCTGCCCACCCTCTCTCAGCGCACGATGGGATCGTGATTAAGATCGAGGTACAGACCAACGACGAGGGCTCAGAAAGTTTGGAGACACCTGAGCCCCTGATGGGACAGGTGGAAGAGCACGGCTTCCAGGACTCAGAGCTGGGTGACCCCTGTGGGGAACAGCCAGACCTGGACATGCAGGAGCCAGAGAACACGCTGGAGGAGTCCACGGAAGGCTCCAGCGAGTTCAGCGAACTGAAGCAGATGCTGGTGCAGCAGAGGAACTGCACGGGTGAGTGCTGGGCGGGGACGGCCGGGGAAGGGTTGCCATGAGGCCTCCCAGAGGGCCCCTGCCCCCTGGGAAAGCTGTGGTTCCTTCAGAGAGGTAGCTGGACACTGATGGGGCAACAGGTGGGAAAGAATTACCAAGCACGGCCTCGAGTATAGGCTCCGTGACGCGGGACTTGTAAGAATCCGTCTCCAACCTAGGAAAGAAGTGGTTACATCTAAAGACTGGTTCAGGCAAAGGGATCTCAGAGCTCACCTATCCCACCCCTCATTTTACAGACAGAGGTTAAATAGATGGGGCAAGGCCACACAGAGAGTGGCAAAGCTAGAACTCTCCCAACGTGTCCTTGATCATCTCATATCACCCTAGAAGCCTCAACTACCTTGAAGATTTCAGCCCTGGAGAGCATGGTTTTCAAATAACAATAGCACCGGCATTCTGTGGTCGAACCTAGTCTTCATTTTTGTTTAATTATAAAACTTTATCACCATGCTGCTCACTCTTGCTCCTTCTGAGTTCAAGAACAGTAAGGCACTGGGGCTCACGGTGGCCTGATCCCAGGACATCTTTCGTGATGGATTTTCTGATGCTGAGCCATCCTGGCAGGCCCGGGAAAAGCCCTACTTGATCATCATGATGTATTTTTTGAATTCACTATTGGACTTAGGTAATAAATATTTTACTCAAGTTAGACAACTGTATTCATAAATGAAATGAACCTTTTCTTGAATTATTCTCATCTAATTTTGGAAACAGTATTATACTGGACATATCAGATGAACTGGGCAGCTTTTGCTGTTGTTCTGTATTCTGAAAAAAAAATAGGAATTGAGTGTGTTCCTTGAAAAATTGGTAGAACCCACATGGACTTTTGTTTTTGTCTGGATGTTTCGTTTATGTGTGAGTCATTCACCATTACGTTTGTATTGTATTTTCATATTTAGAAATAGATCCACATCCATTTCTGTTTTTAAAAGTATTATATTGATGTAAAGTGTTTAAAAATTATCTGTAGATAATTCCTCTATAATTTGCCTTTTTGCACTTAATAAAATACCCATGGTATTTTATTAATGACCATCTCGTTGGTCAAAAGATATGGATCTAGGCCCAGGGCAGTGACTCACACCTGTAATCCCAGCACTTTGGGAAGCAAAAGCAGGAGGATTGCTTGAGCCCAGGAGTTCATGGCCAGCCCAGGCAACATAGGAAGACCCCATCTCTACAAAAAAATTAAAAATTAGCCGGGAATGGTGGCGCATGCCTGTAGTCTCAGCTCCTTGGGAGGCTGAGGTGGGAGGATTGGTTGAAGCTGAGAGGCTGAGGCTGCAGTGAGCCATGATTGTATCACTGCACTCCAGCCTGGGTGACAGAGCAAGACACTGTCTCAAAAATATGTACATATATGGATCTACCACCTTATTTTTAAGTAACTCCATGGTATTTCAGAAGTGTTTTTGACATACCATGCTGTCTTTCATAACAGAATAGTGAAAAGACATAAGGTAAATTCTGAGTATATGCTAAATTGGGACCATCATCGTATAAACTCTATTGCCTTTTGAGCAGTCCCCATTAATTGTAGTAGAACTTTAGAAAACTACTAAACAGTAGTTTGTGGAGTTTTGAGTCTTGAGTTTTAGGGCCAAATGTTTGGCGTTTACCATTCCATGAAGAAAAAAGCACCTTCGGCCAGGAGCGGTGGCTCATGCCTATAATCCCAGCAGTTTGGGAAGCTGGGGCAGGCGGATCGGATCACTTGAGGTTAGGAGTTCGAGAGCAGCCTGTCCAATGTGGTGAAACCCCATCTCTACTAAAAGTATAAAAATTAGCTGGGCATGGTAGCAGGCACCTGTAATCCCAGCTACTCGGGAGGCTGAGGCACGAGAATCGCTTGAACCCAGGAGGCAGAGGTTGCAGTCAACCGAGATCGTGCCACTGCACTCCAGCCTGAGCGATAGAGCCAGACTCAGTCTCAAAAAATAAATTAAAAGAAAAAAAGAAATAAGCACCTTTGATGCTCAAGGAGAGTTTAGTGCTTCTCAGGATCTATTTTCCCCTTTGCCTTTCAGACATACTCAGTATTTTCAGGATAAACACCAGGGCAACTAGTTACCACACTCTGCAGCTGCCTGCTCCTTGATCTTTTAGGCATCACGCTCCAAGGATGTTCTGGGTCGCTTCTTGCTGAGAATCCTAACACTACTGAGGCAGCCTTGACTCAGCACACCTGTGTCCTAATTTTACCACTGTAGTTCACTGGCTGTAGAGGAGGCCAAGGAAGTGCTAAGGACAGGGAGTCACTAGCAACCTTACAAGACGTTGGCTGGGTCACAAACATTGCTAGCTTCAGTCCATGTTACTTGAGGAGGTAGACCAGGTGGGTCCCAACCTGCAAACTCTAGAAAGGCCTAGGACTTCATTTTCTATTTGGAAACATCACTTGATATCTCTGGGCTTGGATGACCCATCTGTAAAATGGGGAGAATTCTTGCTTGACTCGTCCTATAATAAGATACTGTGCTCATGAAAAAAAAAGGACAGGTATGAGTACTCTGAAAAGGTCTTGTTGGTTTTTAATTATTCTGCAAACACAGAATTTTTGTGTCTTCTGTCACAGATGGGTCCAGAGAAGTGACTTTCTTATGTCACACAAAGCTGGTGACTAAAAATAGAACTCACCAGTTAGTGCCAAATAAGTACAAGGCACTTGAGAAAACTCAAACAGGAGTCGGGAGCCACTTCTTTTCTCTAAAACTTACATTATCATAAAGGACCAGGCTAGAGAGTTGAGGGGGCATCCCCGGGTGGGGCATGCACTGCCTGCACCTGATCCAGATTCAAGGGTGGTCGAGTCTGACTGTGCCGGTGCATCTTCCACCCATGAGAGGCTGCAAAAGGCTGGGTTCCTGATCCCTGGGGTGGGCACCAGTGAGTACTGTGGGCTCCAAGGAGGGGTGGAGTGCTGTAGGTTTTGATCACCAAGGCAGACATGGAGAGGAGAGGGAAATTTCTGGAGGAAGGTGAGGAAAGGCACCAAGAGGAGAAATCTCCAAGTGGATTAAGAAAGAAGTGGGCCGGTCTGAGCAGAGTTCAGGCAGAGATGTCCTCAGAGGGGCAAAGACTGAGAACCTTAGGAGTGGAGACCCTTTGGTACAGCTGGTAGAAACCCAACCTTTAAGTAGCCTAATGGAAAAAGGGGTGTGTATCGCTCATATAATTAGAGAATCGTGAGTATTCCAGCATCAGGCATGGCTGGATCCAGGTGTTCCCACATCGGCTCTGTGTACTGGTTTCCTTCTTTCCTGCTGGGTCCGGCTGTACCAGCAGTTTCGCATCATAACCAACAGGAAGCGATTTCCCCTGCGGTCCTCTGTATAAAATCCAAAGAGGACTCTTTTTAGCCCCTTTTAAGTCTGGACTCATTCCTGAAGCAAACAGCAAGGCCAGTCTGGGTTACGCGTCTACCCCGTTGGGGGAGGGGAGCGGACCAGGGGACGCAATGAGGGGACTTTTCCCAAAAGAAGGAATTTGGGCCAATAATGCAATGTTTTGGTGAGGGTGAAGCAGTGCTGTACCTCCATCCAGGTAGGTTAGGGGCGCCAGGCAGCAGCTAACGACTTTCTCTCTCTGTCCCTGGAGCAGAGGGGATCGTGATCAAGACAGAGGAACAAGACGAGGAGGAAGAAGAGGAGGAGGAGGATGAGCTGCCGCAGCACTTGCAATCCCTTGGGCAGCTGTCCGGGAGATATGAGGCCAGTATGTACCAGACCCCGCTGCCCGGGGAGATGTCCCCCGAGGGCGAGGAGAGCCCCCCGCCCCTGCAGCTAGGAAACCCCGCAGTGAAAAGGCTGGCGCCCTCCGTGCACGGTGAGCGGCACCTGAGCGAGAACCGCGGGGCCTCGAGCCAGCAGCAGCGGAACCGGCGCGGCGAGCGGCCCTTCACATGCATGGAGTGCGGCAAGAGCTTCCGCCTGAAGATCAACCTCATCATCCACCAGCGCAACCACATCAAGGAGGGGCCCTACGAGTGCGCCGAATGCGAGATCAGCTTCCGGCACAAGCAACAGCTCACGCTGCACCAGCGCATCCACCGCGTGCGCGGAGGCTGCGTCTCACCCGAACGCGGGCCCACGTTCAACCCCAAGCACGCGCTCAAGCCGCGTCCCAAGTCACCCAGCTCTGGTAGCGGCGGCGGTGGCCCTAAGCCCTACAAGTGCCCCGAGTGCGACAGCAGCTTCAGCCACAAGTCCAGCCTGACCAAACACCAGATCACGCACACGGGTGAGCGGCCCTACACGTGCCCCGAGTGCAAGAAGAGCTTCCGCCTGCACATCAGCTTGGTGATCCATCAGCGCGTGCACGCGGGCAAGCATGAGGTCTCCTTCATCTGCAGCCTGTGCGGCAAGAGCTTCAGCCGCCCCTCGCACCTGCTGCGCCACCAGCGGACTCACACAGGCGAGCGGCCCTTCAAGTGCCCCGAGTGCGAGAAGAGCTTCAGCGAGAAGTCCAAGCTCACCAACCACTGCCGCGTGCACTCGCGCGAGCGGCCGCACGCCTGCCCCGAGTGCGGCAAGAGCTTCATCCGCAAGCACCACCTCCTGGAACACCGGCGCATCCACACAGGCGAGCGGCCCTACCACTGCGCCGAGTGCGGCAAGCGCTTCACGCAGAAGCATCACCTGCTGGAGCACCAGCGCGCGCACACGGGCGAGCGGCCCTACCCCTGCACGCACTGCGCCAAGTGCTTCCGCTACAAGCAGTCGCTCAAGTACCACCTGCGGACCCACACGGGCGAGTGAGCGCGCGCCCCGCCGCCGCCGCCCGGCCAGGTGCGCGGGCCGTGCCCCCCCTCGGACACCGCCAGGCCCGAGCCCAGCGGGCGGGGGCGGGGCGCCCCCCAGCCCCTTTGCCGTGAGCTCCCCCTCTCCTCTCGTCCCTCCTCCCAAGGACATGGGGGCAGTGAGACCAGGTCCCTTGCTGCCGCGTTTCCCCGGGGGCCCCAGGGGGGAGGGCGCGGACCTGGGGAACCCTTTCGGGCTGTTAATTTCCTTGACAATAAAATGGATGAAACCAATCAGCACGGGGGGCGTGATTTGGCCGCCGGCCACTCAGAGGGGCGGTGTAGGGCCCATCTAGTTGGGGATAGAACTTTATAATTACCTTTTGGATACTGTGGTTCTATTTGATAATAATAGAGTAATTTTTAAAAGAAGAGCGTTTCCTGTTTGCCGTTTTTGTTTGGTTTGAAGGGGAGGGATTGAGAAGGCCGGAGGGACATACGCTAGTGTCAGTTGACAGGTTCTGTTGGGACCCTTTTTTGTGTTCCTTCTCCATTTGGGTGGTGAGGGAGACGCTGATCCCGCCGGTTCTGAAATGGAGGAGGAGAGGCAGGACTGACGTCTAAGGGACCACGGGAACCCCAGACCATCGCGTCTGCCCTGGAGTCCATGAGGTTGCTGGGAGCTCAGGACTGAATAGGTCCCAGTTGACTAGCGTGGTCAAGGAGAGTGACGGTCAGGTTTGGAATGAGCTGGAAAGAAGGTCCTGTAGCAAAAGCTGGGCGCTGCCTTCAGTGCCCAGGCGTTCCTGCGTAGCTTGAAATGCAGCTGGCTGAGGAGTAGGGTGGCGGGAGGGAAGCCTAGGGAAGAGGTGCAGAGGCCCCTGGTGCCAGTCTTTGCGGAAGCCACAAAAGGCACCAGTCAGAACATTTTTTATTTGAATGTTGCACCAAAGCTACTCTGGACTTGCTGAACGCACTGACGAACCCTGGTTTCTCTAGGTATTCATTCATTTCCCATCTCCCTCCAGCTCTCTCTTATAGAAAGAGAAACTGCAGGAATATTTATTACGTTGCCCACAGAGCGATTTACTCTGCTGATGGGTTTGGCAGTGGCCCAGAGAGAATTCAGGCCATTCGAAGGGATAATTCATGGAGGCTAGCAGAGTGCACAGCTCAGCCTCGCACACTGGGGAAGCTGGGCTGAAAGCAGAGAGACTGGCCTGAGAGGAGAGCACTGCTGAAGCCAGGCCTGTCAAGTTGTGACAAGATACTTGAAGGGGGTTCAAAAAAGGGGATTTGGAGGAAGAAGGTGATACACTCTTGACTTTCAGGAGACCATAGAGATCATCAACTCCCTCTGCTTTGTATAAAGAGTTTGTAAGCTAAGCACAGAAAGGGGAAGTGATTGATAGCACAAGATCTCACATGTGAAGCTTCTCCATTTAGACTGAATTTCTAAGTCGATGATAGGACATATAGGGATGGTGGCCAGAGGAGGGAGCAGAGGTCTGGGCTGGTGTAAAGGACTGAGGGGCAGTTTCCACCAAGACCTGAAGCATCAGCTGCGAGGCTGGTGCAGATACGTGGGCAGGTAGTTCCGTAGTGTGCAGCCAGCTTCACCAGTTGCCAGGCAGAGGGGGCCTGCAGGAGGACAGCTTCCCCCAGGAGGTGGAATCTGAGCTGGGCCTGCGGGATGGAGAGGATTTCCATACATGAGAAAAATGAGGAAAGCTTTCTTGGTGGGGGTGGTCATAAAAGGAAAAGTGTGGAGAGTAGGCTGCATGTAAGATCAGGATGTAAGCAGTGATGGATTAAACCTCAGCTGGATGAAAGGGCCTGTCTAGGAAAAACAGGGCCAAATGTTGGTTTGGAGTAGACTAGGGGTGCAGAAAGGATCTAAGACTTCAAGGCTGCAGACTTTGAATTGGATCTTGTAGGAAAAACCATTGAAGATTGCTGAGTAGGAGAGAGAGATGATACAAATAGCTATCCAGGGACTGAATCTGGTAGAAGGCAAAGAAATCTAACAGTCAGGTGTGGGAGAACCAGCTCAGTTCCACGGACGGGTTGCAGATAACAGAACCCGTGGGTGGAGGTTGAAGGGATGGCAGGGGAAATGGTTCTTTTGAACGTGAGGATATTTGAAGTCTCAAAGAGTTGTTAGTGGAGGAATTTGGGGAGGTATTTGGTAGAGGGCTGTTGCTGCCCTAAATTTTTACTAGCTCTGGAATTGGAGGACCAAAGAGTGCTGGAAATATCCACCCTGAGTGGAGACGGAGGTGCTGTGGGGTAGAATCCATGTGGGAGACTCAGAGAGGAACTTCATTTGTTACATGAAGTTAGCAGGACATTATGGGGTCAAATGAGAATGGTGCTTGAGAGGCTTTCTTTTTCTAGGAAATCTGGGTGGTTTTTGTTTCGTTTTGCTTGTTTTCTGAGACAGGGTCTTGCACTGTCACCTAGGCTGGCATGTGGTGGCACCATCATGGCTCACTCTGACCTCAACCTCTTAGGCTCAAGCAGTCCTCCTGCCTCAGCCTCTCGAGTAGCTGGGGGACTACAGGTGTGCACCACCACACCCAGCTAATTTTTTTTTTAACTTTTTTGGAGATGGGGGAGTCTTTCTGTGTTGCCCAGGCTGGTCTCAAAACTCCTGGCCTTAAGCCATCTTCCCACCTCAGCCTCCCAAAGTGCTGGGATTACAGGTATGAGCCATAGCTCCCATCTGAAATTTGTTTTTTAAAAGGATTAAACCAAATATAGTCAAAGATTGGTATTTCTTTTTCTTTTAACTGACAATTTATTGCACCAACTAGAACAGCCTGGTTCGTGCATCCTTACGTCTCTGTCTATTGGGATACCATTTAAAGTCTTTCAGAACACGTCATAGTATGTCAAGATTGGTTCATCTTACACGTAGCTGGGCTGCCATGACTTCCCTGACTTCTACCTCCCCTTCCTTGGCTCTGACTCCCTCCTCATGCCTCTTCCTAAGTGCCCAGCACCCTGTGCCCCCCATCGTCTCTCCCCTTGTTCTGACTTCTTGCCACCATCTTGAATCTCACTTTCCATTTGCCCTAATCTCTGCTATTGGTTCCTAAAGTGTAGATAGCCTTTGGTGTCAAAAAGACGTGGCTTTAAACTTCATAGTTGTATGGCCTTGAACAAGTTAATTAACAGAACATCAATTTCCTCATCTGTCAAATAGGGATAATAAAGTTCCCATTGTTCTGAGGCTTAAATCACAATAGATACATAGCAAAGACACTGGCAGATACTAAGGTCTCAATAAGAGATTACTAATTTCAAACAGAAGTTCAAGTTGGTAGTGGGCTAGTGTTATATCCTAAAAGAATGAATCTTTGAGAAGGAAATTTCAGTAGGCAAATGTAGATTATTTTGGTGTGAGAAAGTACAAATTAAACCACAACTATATCATGGTCCTTATCTAGGAGTGGACAGGGTTTCAGTTCACCCCTTGGCCACACTCCAGAGTTTGCAGGAGGTAGTACCCCACCTCGCTGAGTTTTCTGGTCCTCTTTCACAGTGCTTTTCTTGGGTGCCCTTAATTTAATTAGACTTGTGAACTCCTAAGTTGCCTGTTGCTGTTGGCCCCATAAAGCTGTGTAGCAGAAGGAATAACTACCATTTATTGAGAGCTTCTTACTTTGGAAGACTTTACATACATCCCTTCATAACTCTGATGTATGTTTCATTACACCCATTTTATAGGTGGAAAGCTCCAGGCTCAGGGAGGTTAAGTAGGCCCAAAGTCACACAGCAACCAAATAGTAGAGCCAGGATTTGAACTCAGTTCTTTGACTCCAAAGCCCATGTGCTTGGCCAAAAAGTTGTTTTCCTGGGGCCAGTATCGTTGTTGAAAAAAGAAAAGCCAGCACCTCTTTTAAATTATTCCATTTTGCCTCCGGATTTTTTGACTGAAGATAAAATTGGGGGAAACAAAATATATTAAACAGAACATGCTCTGTGCATTTGCCAAAATGATGAACACAGTAAGAGGATAAAAAAGAATGTTTGAGGCAGGAAAAAACCCTTAGCGCTGAGCCCTAGCATTTTATAGCTGAGAAATGAAGAGGAGAGGAGTTGGGTCCTCCAAGGTCACAGGTGGGACAGGCAGGGCTGGTGCCGAGGGGATGCTCACTGTCTTACAGCCCTGCACCCCCCCCCCAGTATTTATTAATCACCACTTGTGTGCAAAGAATTGTGCTGGGCTCTGTGGAGAAACACAAGAGGATTAGGAATCCCTGGCTGCCTAGACAGCACTTAGCATCTGGTGGAGACTGGCAGCCTGGTTAAGCCTCTGGGGATCTGGAAAGCTGGGACCATCAGAGAGGCCTTTAGGCGGCTGTCTCTGATAAAGGACCGCATCCCCAGCTTTTCTTCATTCCTCTTCAGTGGATGTAGCCTGAACCAGCCAGGTGTCTGTGGGAGACCTTTCCTGAAGCACTGTGGTGGCAGCTCCTCAGATTAAGGGATCAGGGACAGAGGCCCTCCAGGCCCTACTGTTGCCAGGGCAACATTGAGTCAGGCCAGGGCCTCTCCTCCAGCGCTCTGGAAAGCATTACTGCTGCTGAAGCCTCTTGTTGCTTCCCAGTCATACTGGCAACTTCTAGATGACAATTTGTAAAAAAAAAAAAAAAAAAAAATCAACTTTGCATCTACCATTTCTAGTTGGTTTCCTTGAAATGAGGAATTTTAGTTAAAATATAGACTTTAGCCCTTTTATTTCTGTTTTCTACAAAGGACAGCTCCAGGTTAAATGATTTCTCTAAAAAAAAGAAAGAAAAGGAAGGTGAAAGGAAGGAAAAAAGGGGAAAAGACCAGGATAGAAAGAAAGAAAAGAAAACATTAAACATAGTACTATTGATCGCAACCTTACATGAAAAGTTCTGTTCAGAAGTCAGAACTAGCCATAAGTTTATTAAGGATAATAACTAAAATCACTACAATTCATTGAGTTTTACCATGTTGCAGTCACTGTGCCAGATCATAAACGCTTTCCTTTCATTTTATCTTGCAACAACCTGTGAAATTGGTATCTGTGTCCCCTTGAACAGATGAAGTTCAGAGAGGTTCAGCCATCAGCAGCCAAGGTCACACGGCCAGAATTTAAACCTAAGTGGGTGGGAACCCCAGCTGTGTGCTATTAACCACTGTTACATACTGCCTCCCAATTTCAACATGGATCCTTAATAAAAAGGGCAAAACATGACTATTTCTCTTTGATTTGCAGCTCTCACTGTCTATGGGCACAGCATGTGAGTCTGGACCTGCCTGAAAGCACAGTTCCCTGGCTGCCTGGCCAGCCAAGCCCAGGCGACATTGGGAGACGTCCTGAGGTTCACCTGACCAGGGTAGAATAGGTGTTCCTGGGCACACTGGTGGTTAGAACACCAATCCAGCCCCCGTTTTAGACTGAGTCCTCTATACCTTAGGGACTTTGGGGAGAGCACTGTTATGGCAAGAGGCCACCTTTCTCTGTTTATTTCTGACGTTGGGACCTAAGAAGCCATTTGTTTATCAGTCAGAGGAGTAGTTGCATGAAGGAGATTATTATAAGGAAGAAATACCTGCTCCCTAATAACACAAAATACACCCTTGACTCTAATCCTGCCGGCTCAGTGCTACCTCTAAGTTCTCACCATTCCCTCCCCGCCACTACCGCATGAATGAAACTCACTGCTTCTCTTTGTAAAATAATATCTCAAAATAACTCAAGTATTATAAGACAGGAGCATCACTGCTGTCTATTAATTCAGGTAATGGAAAGTTGAATTTTAATGACAAAATGTATCAGTGAAAATGTCTATCCCTGCTGGTAATTTTATTTAAAGAATGATTATCAGGACAACAGACTGTTTCTTCTTAAAATCAGTATAGTCTAATAAGTATAAAATCTTTTTAAAAATTAAATGCAATCAGCTCTTCATTTACCTGATACACAAATAATCAAATTATGCCCTCAAAGGATTGAAATAGCTTGGATTTAAGCTAAACTCAATTAAGAAAAGTAAACAAGTATGAAAGGTGAAACTTGCCATTTTTCCACAGAAGGTACCAGCCAAGAACTACATGGTCCCATGATCAAATTTGCTGCAGGTAAATTATGCAAATTCTAAAATTTAAGATTAAAAAAATTTATTTATTTATTTTTGAGACAGGGTCTTGCTCTGTCTCAGGCTGGAGTACGATGGTGACATCATGGCTCACTACAGCCTGGACCTCCCACATTCAGGTGATCCTCCCGCCTCAGCCTCCTGAGTAGCTGGGACCACAGGCATGAGCCACCAAGCCTAATTTTCTTATTTTTAGTAGAGACATGGTCTCATCTCACTACGTTGTCTAGGCTGGTCCCAAACTCCTGGACTCAAGCAATCCTCCATAGGCCTCCCAAAGTGCTGGGATTATAGGTGTGAACCACCGCGTCTGGCGTATACAAAAAAATTTCTGCTAGGTGTGGTGGTTCACACCTGTAATCCCAGCACTTCGGGAGGTCTAAGGAGGAGGATCGCTTGAGCCCAGGAGTTTGAGACCACCCTGAGCAACATAGTGAGAATCTGTCTCTTAAAAAAAATTCTGTATATATTTTTCGATTTGGATGATAGTCATCACTATAAATCACATTAATTTTGTCAAAAAGTAAAGACACTAAGTTGGTTCCCATAGTTACCCCCTGAACAATTTAATAATAATGACTGTCCAACTAAAATTTGTATTATTTCTTTCCCACTTTAACCCAGTGGTTCCTTACTGTGTCTTGAATTAATCAATGCCTTACCAAGCCAATTTATCCAGTGATGCATTCTGAAATAAGTTTGGGAAAAAAAAAAAACCTCAAATGTTTCAGAGTGCTGCTAAAAAAGCAAGTCAATATTCAGACCAATTTAAGCCAGTCTCTGGTGTGTTTAATTCATACAGTAGACAAATTGAGAGAAATAGACACATTTTCCTTGCCCAAATTGTTGCCAGCTCTTCAGAGTCTTGAAACAAACGTTAATTGCATACAAACATGCTTGGGTGTTCATTTTACCAAAAAGATGAACTCTTATTAGTATGTAGTAATCACATAACAGAATTCCAGAATCTTATTTAAAATTCTTTGCCCCCAAATGAAAATAGCGTTTTTTTCTGGTTGTAGAAGGAATTTCTATGTTCTAAACAATAAAAACTTACAATTGAATGAGTCCCTTATTTCTCCAAGAGAAGGTATCAAGTCTTTTCCATAACTATGGAAGAAATCAATTTTAACCACCCAGTATGAGGACTTCTAACCATCTCCACCTGTGAAATTACTTGGAAGAGTTCATCCCTTCTCTGTAGAACTAAATCTGTAATATATTTTAGAATCTCTTTCAGATTCAGGACATGAAATCTTTATCAAATTTATAATGGTCAGCCAAATTTTTTGCACTTCATCTGTCAGTGTTTTCAAGCTTTCGTTTGTAGCCTCCGGAATCCCTTGTTTAAATAAAACAATTTTCAGAAGCTAAATATGTAAAATAACTCGTGCCTTAAGAGGCTGGAGAGGGAGCCAAGCCTACCTGCTCTGGCGCCCCCGTCTTCCCAAACTCCCCCTGCGCTGAGGGGTCTCCAAGGAGGAAGCTCACTTCAAAAACCTCTGCCCTGGGCAAGTCACCAGGGCTCCTTTTCTCTTGCTTCAACCTTTCCTAGCCTCAATCCAAACTCTGTATGTTTAATTTATCCAGTGACACACTCCATGCTTACTTAATTCTTTGATAGAACAGTTTCTTAGTTTTATTTTTTTTCCTTGTGGGATATGCATGCTTTCCTATTCTCTATGCGTTACTTGGCAGATGTTCATATCAGAAAATGGTAAGTCTCTATAACCTTGCCAGTGAAATCCAGAGAGCTAACATCCACTGAGAATCCCTGGAAGGCCGGGGAAGATAGCAGGACAGATGTCTTAAGCCCTGTGAGAAAGCTACAAAGACGTCTCCCCCGCCCCAACCCCCATGTTATTTTTACAGCAAACGCTTCCACGGTGAAGGCAACGGGAGATTCAGGTGCAAGGTGCAGCCTAGCAAGACCCCTGGCCACACACGCATCACTGCGGGAGGTTGGAGGGTCCCCTCTACCGGGCTTTCCAGGGCTTGGCGCGTGCTCGGAGCGTGCACTCAGCGGCCATTGTGTGTTTGATTTTTCCCAAGGGCAGGGCCGGCTTTTGTTCATTTCGCGCTTGCTCCAGAGTCTGGCGCAAGGTCCTCAGAGGTCCTCAGTGCACGCGAAATGAACGGATGAACAAGCCACAGGTGACAATGTGCGGGAAGAAACACGGGTACAATCCCAAATCTCTGCCCAGCTGGGATGGAGATGATTTTCTTCATTAAACCTGATCCAACACCTTTAAACGCTATCACTTAAAAATGGATTTTATCATTCCTTCTGATATTTCAGCCCCAATATTAGGTAGAGTACCCGGATCACTGCCAAATCCTCTTACCACCGTTGCAGGTGGCTGGTGTGCGGCAGAAATCCTGCTCCACGGCCCTGCCCTTTGCAGCAAGGTCACCCAGCTGCCTGATAAGGAGTCCAGGGACGGGCAGCAAGCGGGACTGCGGGGAAAGCGCCGGGCACGCCGCGTGGCACCCGAGGCCCGCCCGCCCTTCCTGGCTGGGTATGAACACCAGCCGCGCCCGCGGGCGGCGACCCCGGGCTTCCTCTCGTTCAGGTCGCCTGGCGCGGCCGTGCCTTCCTGCTTCCCTACGGCAGCGGCACACCGGGACCTTGGGGAACCGGGAAGGGGCCCTTCCCCAAGCCAGGCCTCTGGCCCATCCAGGTCCCCTCGAGTCCCCCCAGCTCACCCAGAGCTCAGCGGGTCCCGTCCTCGGTCTCCCCGCCGGCCTCGCGGCTCCATTGCTGCCGCCCGAGAGGCCCTACGCGAGCTCCTAAAACCCTGCGCCCTCCATTTGGCGCCTGTGGGATGGGGCACAACCGTGTCGGTCTCACTGGTGCTGTGAGTGCAGCTGAGAGCCAATGGAGCAAGGACTTAACACAAACGATTATATTTTTATTTTAAAGATGTATTTATGCGTCTCTATCCATATTTTAAATATGCACATTTTCTCGATTACATTAATTTTGATGACTTGACTTTTAGACGTTCCTCTGCCTGGGCGTTTTTTCTCCCGTCTGATGAGAACGGGAGCGCGCTGCTGGGTGCCCGGCAGGGCGCGCCGGCGGCCCACGGGCTGCCTCCCGGGCCAGCGCCACGTCGGGCCGCGCGGGGCCGCGCGCTGCCCCCTGCCGGCCAGAGGCGAGGAGGCCCCGGAGGCCGCGGCGCCCTCACCTGGCCGCTGGCGGCCGCTCTAGGAATGCGCGCGGCCTTCTCGGTGGTGGCGGCCGCCTCGCGCCAGAGACCCGCTAGTCCCGACATCCGAGCCCCAGCCCCGCCTGCCAGCCGGCTGGCCCTTAGTCGCAGTGCGGGAGCCGCCCGGCCGCAGCCCCGAACCAGCCCTGGTTAGCAGGAGCCGCTGTCAGGTTGCTTTTCTTGCACACACTGGCCTGCCGGCCAAGGCCCCAGCAAATCCCCGTGCAAACACAGTTGGTGCAAACACAGTTAGTGCAAACAAAGGTGCGGCCGCAGGAATCTGAGAGCACAGGAAATATGAGACCTACCCCACCTCGAAGGCTCAACCCACGGCACAAAACAGCACAGAAGACCCGGAGGGCCTTGGGTCCCAGAAGGAGAGGGGACTCCGTGAATTGACCCCGAGCTTTAGGGTTGCTCAAGCTTCTTCCCGGGCAGCCTGCATTCTACCCACTTTTCTCGTTGTGCAGATGAGGAAACCAAGGCTGAGGCCCAGCTCCTGGCCGCTCGCTGTGTTTGTCCCATGCGGAGGTGGACCTGGAGGCGCTCTCTCATGATAGGCTGCACTTTTTTTTTTTTTTTTTTTTGAGACGGAGTCTCGCTCTGTCGCCCAAGCTGGAGTGCGGTGGCAGGATCTCGGCTCACTGCAAACTCTGCCTCCCGGGTTCACGCCGTTCTCCTGCCTCAGCCTCTCGAGTAGCTGGGACTACAGGCGCCCGCCACCACGCCTGGCTAATTTTTTATATTTTTAGTAGAGACGGGGTTTCACCGTGTTAGCCAGGCTGGTCTCGATCTCCTGACCTCGTCATCCGCCCGCCTCGGCCTCCCAAAGTGCTGGGATTACAGGCGTGAGCCACAGCGCCCGGCCTGCACTTTTTTTCCTTGATATATTTTCAAATGTCTGCCTAGTTTTTTCCGAAGACTAAATTCTTTAGCCCAGGCTGCGGTGGCCCCCTAATAAAACAAATGCCATGCAAAGACTAACCTCCTGGAGTGGAACTGCCTGGTCCAGGGTACGAGCGTTTTCTAAGGCGTTTGAGGCATAGGGCCAGACGATCCTCCCGCAGGTCGGCCGTCTCCCCTAGTTCTGTGTGGGGAGCAGGCAAGGAAGCCCCGCTCTGTGGGCCGGTGGGAAGGCTGGCAAGCACCCGGTGTATTTGAGTGACGTGTGCCTCCGTGTGAGTGATGTGCAGGCGGCAGGGCCTCTGTCCTATTGTGGGGCCTCACTCTTAACGGATTTGAATGCTGTGGGAGCACTGGGCGGCCAGGGAATCTTTTGAAAAGGCAAATTTGATCATAGTCCTCTCTTGCTTGGGAGGTTCCCCATTGCTCTTAGGGTAAGGTCCAAAATCTTTCAGGACCCACTAGGCCCTGCCTGCCTTCTCGGCCCTGTCCGGGGTTGCTGTAACAAAGTGCCACAAACTGGTTGGCTTTAAACAACAGAAATGGATTCTTGCAGTTCTGGAGGCCAGAGGTCCAAGATCAATGTGTGGTCTGGCTTGGTTCTTACTGGAGGCTCTGAGGGACACCGTCCCATGCCTCTCTCCTGGCTTCAGCATTGGATGCAGTGCGCCAGCGGGCACTTGGCCTGCTCCCTTTGTCTCCTCTCTTCTGATGAGGATAACAGTCATATTGCACTGAGTGCCCACCCTGCGCCAGGATGACCTGGTCTTAATTAACTATTACATTGGCAATGACCCTATTTCCAAAGAAGGTCACCTCCTGAGGTTCTTGGAAGGACATGAACTTTGGGAAGACCCTACTCAGTCCACACAGGCTGCCTCCCAGACTCCAGCACCCTGACCTTCTCTCTGCTCTTGGCACCCCACTGCCTCAGGCTTCACCCATGCCGCCCAACTTCCTGGGCTGCTCATCTCCCAACTAACGTTCCTTCCTCCTGCACGGTGTTGTGGAAATGTCACTCCCTCAGAAAAGGCCTCTGGAACACCCCAGCTTAGGGTAACTGTGGTGCCCACTCTCCCCCTTCCCCTTTCTAGGTTCACAGAGCTTAAGACAGTTATCATTGAAGTGACACCGAGTGACAGTGGATGTTCATGTGTGCCTCCTCTACCTAAATCTGCTCCTCAGGGGCAGAAACCAGGTCGGCTGGATGAACAAGAACCTTAATTGCATGGCCGAGGAGGCTTACAGACTGACCTGGGAAGCCTGTCTCCACAGGACAGGCCCGAGGTGATGAAGACCTGTGCCAAGCCCAGCACAGAGTCTCTGAGGAAGGGCTCAGAGATGTGGCCCCTGCACATGGGAGGGAGATCCAAATCCAGGCTCCACTCTCCCTGGGATGGCACAGTAAATAAATGCCACCTCCTGACCCAGCTCACAGGGCCCTCTGTGGCCTGACCCCACCTCACCTCCACCTCAAATCACTGTCCTGCTCTGCCCCCTCTGCTGCCCCACACTGGCCTCATTCTTGCTTCATCCTGCCAAGCCACTTCCAAGTGGGTCACTCTACCCAAGGCCTGGGATCCACTGCATCCAGAATTTTAGTTATTTTTATCTACTTATTTTTTGAGACAGGGTCTCATTCTGTCACCTAGACTGGAGTGCAGTGGCACTGCAGCCTCGACTCTCCAGGCTCAACTGATCCTCTGGCCTCAGCTTCCCAAGTAGCTGAGACTACAGGTGCATGCCACCACGCCTGGCTAATTTTTTAAAAAATCTTTTGTACAAATGAGTTTTCGTTATGTTGCCCAGGAATGGTCTTGAACTCCTGTGCTCAAGCAATCTGCCCACCTCAGCCTCCCACAGTGCTGGGATTGCAGGTGTGAGCCCGGACATGCATCCAGATTTTTCCTCACTGGCTTCTTATCATTCGGATTTCAGCTCCAATCATCGTTTCCTGACCATCCCTGTTGTCTTCCATCAGAATACCATGCTTTATTTTCCTGTAGTGTTTTCAATATCTGTGATGTTTTCATTCATGCATTAGTTTGCTTGTCTGTCACACTGCACCTCTGGGAATATAGCTCCATGGGGCCAGGGCTGTGTTTCTTGGCCTCGTTCACTGCTGAGTCCTCAGTGCCTAGACTAGACCCTGGAACGTAGTGTATTTGTTAAATGACTGAATGAGTCACTTAGTCCCCCTGAATCTGTTTCTTCAGCTATAAAATGGGAGCAGTCTTAACTATTTCCTAGGATATAACAATTGTACCTGCCTCAGACAGCTATGAGGATTCTGTAGGATAGTGTATATGAGCCTCCAACATAAACACTCAGCACACATGAGCCATTATTTCTATCTCAGATTCACCCGTCCTCACATGGAGAGGGCAGGACTGGGAATGAGGTGGTAACTCTTTCAGATCCCAGTGTTCAGCTCTCTGTTCTTCCAGTTATCCAACCTTTACTAGAAAAGATGGAAAAAATATAGTATTGTGGAAACAGCCCTGGACTTGGACAGAGAGGTCTTGAAATTGAGTTCCTTGGAAATTTTCTGAGGCTGTGTCCTCATGTGCAAAATGGAATTAATTATTCCTATAGAAGCATAAATGAGGCCAGGCATGGTGGCTCACACCTGTAATCCTGGCACTTTGGGAGACTGAGGCAGGAGGACTGCTTGAGCCCAGGAGTTCAAGACCAGCCTGGTCAACAGAGCGAGACCCTGTCTCCAACAACAACAACAACAAATCCAGATGATGTGGTGGTGCAGCAGGCCTGTAGTCCCAGCTACTTGAGAGGCTGAGATGGGAGGGTCGCTTGAGCCTAGGAGTTTGAGGTTACAGTGAGCCATGATCACGCCACTGCATTCCTGAGCAACGGGGCAAGACCTTGGTTCTTTAAAAAAAAAAAAAAAAAAAAAGGCACTTGAATGAGTACGTTATGTGTAAATTATAATGCACTTATTTCCCAAATTAGCATTCCTTGGAGTCTTTTTTGTCTTATCTAGGCAATTACGTACTAATTATGTCAAAAGGAAATGATATTGCTTGTAATTACTAGAAGAGATATGCTTAAATTTGTAATATTTATGGGTTTTTCTGATTTTCAAAGTGATACATTTTATTGCAGAAAATGTGAAGAATATAGAGGAATATAAAGAAAAACATTCTGAAATCACCCATAACCCCTATATTCATGCTTTAGTCTTCACATGTGTGCCCTGGAGCAAACAGTGCACGTGAAGGGCATCCTCACCGAACTGAGATGCCCTTAGGTGGGTGATCCAGGAAGCTGACAGGTAGGTGGCTTCCTAGAAGGCCACGGAGAGGACCTGTGCCAGTTCCACGCACTGATGCTTGTTTGACTGAGTCCTGGGAGTGGCTGGATGGGAGGGAGGGCACAAGAAGGGGCTATGGCCCTAAATAGGGCATTTAACTATAGATTAAGAGCTTCCAATTTGAATTGAGGTGCTTCTGGGGGCCCTTAAACTTAAAAAATAATTTCTTAGTGGTTTAGGAAAATAAAACAATTACTGAAAATACCAAAAAGTATAAAGAAGAAATAGTCACTAACAATCTCACCATGGAGCTAGGAGATATTAGGATCTCAAAATATTTCTTTTTACCTTTTTGTTTGGTTGATTCTACTTATTTTTACCTTTGAGATAATACCCACTCTCATTTAACATCGTGATTCCCAACCGTGGCTGCACACTGGAATCCCCTGACAGCACAAACTATCAGTGTCTGGGTATCACTCTAGATATTCTGATTCAACTGATCTGCCCCCTCGTACCTGCATTAGTACTTTTAAAACCTCCCTAGGTGATTCTAAGGTAGTCAGAATCGAGAACCACTGACTTAAGATGTAATTCACATTTTCTTGTGAATTATATCAAACATTTTAAATAGCTAGTTTTCTATCATGTAGATATGCCAGTTTCTTAACCACCTCTCTAATATTAGGCATTTCTGCTTCTATTTGTTTAATTATTATTATTATTATTATTATTATTATTTTTTGAGACAGGGTCTTCCTCTGTGGCCCAGGCTAGAGTGCAGTGGTGCAATCTTGGCTCACTGCAACCTCTGCCTCCCGGGTTCAAGCTATTCTCCCACCTCAGCCTCCTGAGTAGCTGGGATCACAGGCACGCACCACCACAGGCCGGCTAATGTTTGTATTTTTAGTAGAGACGGGGGTTTCACCATATTGGTCAGGCTGGTGTCAAACTCCCGACCTCAGGTGATCTAGCCGCCTCGGCCTCCCAAAGTGCTGGGATTACAGGCATGAGCCACTGCGCCCTGCCATCTATTTGCTTAAATATTTTAAATAACACTTAAGAGCACTTAAATATCTTTGAGCCAACATTTGTTCATGTTTCACGCTTTTTCTGGGCTGGGTTCATAGAAACAGAATTACTACTAGGTCAAAGGGAATTGTTTGAACTTATCTCTTATTTTATACTGCCTTTCCTCTCGAGAGAGATTATACCAAGCCCAGGCATGGTGGCTCAGGCCTGTAATCCCAGAACTTTGGGAGGCCAAAACAGGTGGATTGCTTGAGGTCAAGAGTTGGAGACCAGCCTGGCCAACATGGTGAAACCCTTTCTCCACTAAAATACAAAAATTCGCCGGGCATGGTGGCGGGCACCTGTAATCCCAGCTACTTTGGGAGGCTGAGGCTGAGGATCTCAGCTCACTGCAACCCAGGTGGTGGAGGTTGCAATAAGCCAAGACTGCGACACTGCGCTCTAGCCTGGGCGATAGAGCAAGACTCCATCTCAAAAAATAAAAATAAAAATAAAAAATTGTACCAGTTTACAGGCCTAAAATAGTATGGACTTACCATACCCTTGCCAGTATGAGGATTGCTACTTTAATTTTTGTCCATTTCAATACAGGAAAAATGTTAAATGGTGTTGTTTTCATTTGCATGTCTTTGGTTTTACTAAGATTTATTTTGACTTACTAACACTTATACTTTTCTATCAACTACTATTATACTATTTCCTTTTGTGAATTGTCTTTTGATGGCCTTTGCTATTACATGTGGGCTCTTTACTTATTAAGGATATTAATTTGTAATATTTTGACTGTCCTACATGACAGAAATATTTTCCCAACTTGGTATTAACCTTTTGATTTTGTTTACATACCTGAACCTTTAATGTTTATATAGCCGAATCTATTGGTATTTTCTGTTGGGATTTGTTCCATTGTGTATTAGAAAGTCCTTCAGAAATCAGTTAGATGCAATTTATACTGTCTTATGCTTTTATTTGATATTTTATATGTAATAATTTAATCCACTTGGACTTTATTTTGGTATATAATATGAAGTTTAGTTGCCACTTTAATTTTCCCAAATGGCCAACTAAGTCTCCCAGTAGAATATATGTAAATGACGCTTCCTTTCCCCTATGAATTTGTGATGTGTAAAACACGGTGGTTGAGTGTATGGACTCTGTTGCCAGACCACTTAAGTCTGCATTTCCACTTACCAACCATTTGACGTTGGACAGCTTTTTCAACGTTTCTCATTTTTCTCATTTGTAAAATTGGGACACCAGTCATAGCGCCTGGTGTCTCAGCTTTCTCATTTGTAAAATTGGGACACCAGTCATAGCGCCAGCCTTACGGAGTCGCTGTGAACACAACTGCTCTGTAAAAGTGAGTGACGCTCTTTCATTCAGTTCGTGCGTGGACTATGGTGTGCTCCCAGGTCTGCGTTCCAGGTGTTCTGTCCCCGCACCGAGTCCATTCTTGTGTCCTGGCAGATGCTGATGTGTAGTGGGGCAGGCTCTCTCCCGCTGCTGTCACTTTTTGGTTTTCTTGGCCTCCATCTCCTATTTTGCTTTAGGAAATAAATGGCCTACCTTTTCTTCACTGCTCCGGGCCCTCCATTTTCATCGCAGATAAGCAGTTAGTTGAAAAAGACAATGCTTGCATCAGATAAAGGCCTAAGAAGGTCTTCGTGGTTTGCGGGGAGAAGAATTGGTGTGGGGAAGGGCCATGAGTGACGTCAGAGGATCTTGGGAAGAGGACAGAGGTGGAGAATAAAGATGAGAGCAAAAAGGGAAAGAGCCCAAAAGGGACGGATAAAGAAAAGGTTCGAGGTGACGGCGGCCGAAGGAGTAAACGCCGTGAGCCGGGGCTGTCACCCCGGGGTTTCTTCCCAAACTCGGGGAAGAAAGTGCGTTGGAGTGTGACGGTAAAAGCGCAAAGGTCCGAACTGGCCGCCGGAGAAAAGCGCCGCCCAAAGCGCGGACCCTGCAGTGCTGTACGCGGCTTGCGTGCGGCTGACTACGAAGACGTGAGTGACGCTTTCCTCCCGTGTGACGGGGGTATAGCTTAGCGGTAGAGCATTTGACTGCAGATCAAGAGGTCCCCGGTTCAAATCCGGGTGCCCCCTGAATAGTGGCTTTTAGAGGTTTCTTGGCTCTAGCAAGACCTGCTTCCACAGCACACTGATTTCCAAAGACCATGCCGGGTAAATCCGCGTTCCCTCTGCGCAATGACTTTTAGAGGTTCTCAGTCTCTAGCAAGACCTGCATACATAGCACACCGATAGCAAAAGACCCTGCAGCCCCACTGGAACTGAAATATAGGACCGTCTTTACCTTCACACTCCCAGAGAGGGCTGGTTTCCCATCACACATTTCTTCTGACCTAAGTGTGGGGGTTAGCCAGGTTCTCTTGGAGAGGCAGGATCTCCAGCGGCTGCTCCTGGAAAGGTGTAGAAAAGCCCCGCGGGTTTCCGGGCTTCAGCAGTACCTCGCATCTCACACACCTGCGCCCCTGGAGCCACAGTCAGGTTCCCAGCCACATATATTGTTCAAGTAAGGATGATTTGGAGAGGAGTATAATTCTGAGTATGATTTGTTTTAGTATTTTGGTAGACCAAATATTGAATAGCGATTCTATTCAATAGCTATTTTCAAAAACACTCGCAGAAAGTGCTCAACAGCTATTTTCAAAAACACTTGCAGAAAGTGCATACATACTACCATAACTAAATATTTTATTATACTAAATCAGCTGTTACAAAAAAATAATTTAGTTTATTTGCATATATACCACCTAAAAAAACACCTCACACTTTATCTGAATTGGTAGACTATCCCAGCCTGTTTGGATGGACTTGTGAGTTGTGTGTACACCACATCCGGTTCCAACGACATCCTGCTGAATCTTCTTGGGATTTACTAAAGACTTCCTTGCCAAGAACATTGTTTTTATCACAGTGCTGTGCTCCCCAAATCGCACCCTTGTATCGTTGCTGCACAAAGAGTTCTACCTTCAATATTGCACTTTTAAACGGAGTACACCAGTATTCACAATAATGGCAACTGTTTCATCTTTTATAAAGTGAACTTCCAAAAGCTTTGGTTCCATTAATTAGATGCCAGGACTACAGACCTGAAAGGGGATTGTCCTCAATAACAGACTGATGTTCACCTTTTTAATAATGGCTTTGTAGTTTCTCAACTTCATTAATCACCAGCTTACCAACTCATTATTCCCCAGGATAATGTTTTCCTCAGAAAGGTTTATCTCCATTGGCTGGTGGGGAGGGTGCACTGGAAGGAGGAGAAAGTCAAAGTAGGGTGGTCCATGCTCCTCCTGAGGTGTGAGATTGAGATTCTGGAGCAGAAATCAAAACCTTGGAGTCATAGTCTTTTTTTTTTTTTTCTTTTGAGACAGGGTCTTGCTCTGTTGCCCAGGCAGGAGTGCAACAGCACAATCATGGCTCGCTGCAGCCTCAACCACCTGGGTTCAAACAGTCCTCCCACCTGAGTCTCCAGAGTACCTGAAACTACAGGCGATTTCTTTTTCTTTTTCAAGGACGGTTTAAAATTTTTTTTTATTTTAGGGTTGGGGGTACATGTGAAGGTTTGTTACATACATAAACACATTTCACAGGGGTTTGTTGTACATATTATCACATCACCCAGGTATTAAGCTCAGTATTCAATAGCGATCTTTTCTGCTCCTCCCCCTCCTCCCCCCCTCCCCCTCCTCCCCCCTCCCCCCTCCCCCCCAGGTAGACCGCAGTGTCTGTTGTTTCCTTCTTTGTCTTCATAAGTTCTTATCATTTAGCTCCTACCTATAAGTGAGAACATGCGGATTTGGTTTTCCATTCCTGCATTACCTTGCTAAGGATGATGGCCTCCAGCTCCATCCATGTTCCTGCAAAAGACATGATCTCATTCTTTTTTTGACTGCATAATATTCCATGGTGCATATGTACCACATTTTCTTTATCCACTCTATCATTGATGGGCATTTAGGTTGTTTCCATGTGTTTGCTATTGTGAGCAGTGCTGCAATAAACATTTGTGTGCATGTGTCTTTATGGTAGAATGCTATACATTGCTCTAGCTATATTCTCGGTAGTGGGATCAAATGGTAGTTCTGCTTTTAGCTCTTTGAGGAATCGCCATACTGCTTTCCACAATGGTTGAACTAATTTACACTCCCACCAACAGTATATAAGGGTTCCTTTTCTCCGCAACCTCACCAGCATGTGTTATTTTTTGACTTTTTAGTAATAGCCATTCTGACTGGTGTGAGATGGTATCTCATTGTGGTTTTGATTTGCATTCTTCTAATGATCAGTGATGATATTCAGCTTTTTTGCCCATACTTGTTGGCCGCATGTATGTCTTCTTTTGAGACCTGTCCATGTGTTCATGTCTGTTCATGCCCTTTGCCCACTTTTTTTTTTTTTTTTTTTTTTTTGAGACGGAGTCTTGCTCTGTCACCCAGGCTGGAGTGCAGTGGCGCCATCTCGGCTCACTGCAAGCTCCGCCTCCTGGGTTCACGCCATTCTGCTGCCTCAGCCTCCCCAGCAGCTGGGACTACAGGCGCACGCCGCCACACCTGGCTAATTTTTTTTGTATTTTTAGTAGAGACGGGGTTTCACGTGTTAGCCAGGATGGTCTTGATCTCCTGACCTCGTGATCTGCCCGCCTCGGCCTCCCAAAGTGCTGGGATTACAGGCTTGAGCCACCGTGCCCGACTGACCTTTGCCCGCTTTTTAATGGGGTTGTTTGTTTTTCTCTTGTAAATTTGTTTAAGTTCCTTATAGACCTTTGATGGATGCATAGTTTGCAAATATTTTATCCCGTTCTGTAGGTTGTCTGTTTACCCTGTTGATGGTTTGCTGTGCAGAAGCTCTTAAGTTTAATTAGATCCCATTTGCCAATTTTTGCTTTTGTTGTGATGGCTTTTGGTGTCTTTCTCATGAAATCTTTGCCCATTCCCATGTCCAAGATGGTATTTCCTAGGTTGTCTTTCAGGGTTTTTATAATTTTCAGTTTTACATTTAAGTCTTTTTTTTTTTTTTTTTTTTTTTTTACATTTAAGTCCTTAATCCATTTTGAGTTGATTTTTGTATATGGTGTAAGGAAGGGATCCAGCTTCAATCTTCTGCATATTGCTAGCCAATTATCCCAGCACCATTTATTTAATAGAGAGTCCTTTCCCCCTTGTTTGTTTTTGTCAACTTTGTCAAAGATCACATGGTCATAGATGTGCAGCCTTATTTCTGGGCTCTCTGTTCTGTTCCACTGATCTATGTGCCTGTTTTAGTAACAGTACCGTGCTGTTTTTGTCACTGTAGCCTTATAGTATAGTTTGAAGTTGGGTAATGTGATTCCTCTAGCTTTGTTCTTTTTGCTTAGGGTTGCCTTGGCAATTCAGTCCCTTTTTTGGTTCCATATAAATTTTAAAGTATTTTTTCTAGTTTTCTGAAGAACGTCATTGGTAGTTTAGTAGGAATAGCATTGAATCTATAAATTGCTTTGGGCAGTATAGCCATATTAATAATATTGATTCTTCCTATCCATGAGCATGAGATGTTTTTCTATTTGTTTCTGTGTTCTCTGATCTCTTTTGATCAGTGTTTTGTAATTCTCATTGTAGAGATGTTTCACCTCCCTGGTTAGCTATAAGAGATAGAAAAATTCCCAGACATTTACACTCTCCTAAGACTGAGCCAGGAAGAAATTAATTCCCTGAACAGAACAATAAGGAGCTCCAAAATTGAATCAGTAATAATAGCCTACCAACCCAAAAAAGCCCAGGACCTGATGGATTTGCAGCTGAATTCTACCAGATGTACAAATAAGAGTTGGTATCATTCCTACAGAAACTATTCCAGAAAATTGAGGCATAGGGGCTTCTCCCTAGCTCATTCTATGAGGCCAGCATCATCTTGATACCAAAACCTGGCAGAGACACAACAAAAAAATAAAACTTCAGGCCAATATTCTTGATGAACATCAATGCAAAAATCCTCAACAAAATACTTGCAAACAGAATCCAGCAGCACATCAAAAAGCTAATCCACTGTGATTAAGGAGGCTTCATCCCTGGGATACAAGGATGGTTCAACATACAAAAATCAATGAATGTGATTCATCACATAAACAGAACTAAAGACAAAAAACACATGATTATCTCAATAGACGCAGAAATGGCTTTTGAGAAAATTCAATATCCCTTCATGTTAAAAACTCTCAATAAACTAGGTACTGAAGGAATATACCTCAAAATAATAAGAGCCATTAATGACAAACCCACAGCCAATATCATTCTGAATGGGTAAAAGCTGGAAACATTCCCCTTGAAAACCAGCACAAGACAAGGATGTCCTCTCTCACCACTTATATTCAACATAGTATGGGAAGTCCTAGCCAGAGCAATCAGGCAAGAGAAAGAAATAAAGGACATCCAAATAGGAAGAGAGGAAGTCAAACTATCTCTGTTTGCAGACGACATGATTCTATATCTAGAAAACCCCATATTCTTGGCCCAAAAGCTTCGTCAGCTGATAACTTCAGCAAACTTGCGGGCTACAAAATCAATATACAAAAATTGCTAGCATTCCTATATACCAACAATAACCAAACTGAGAACCAAATCAGAAAAGCAATCCCATTCACAATTGCCACAAAAAAAAAAAACAAAAAAATACCCAGGTGATTTGTATGTTTTGTAGATACAGGGTCTTGCTTTGTTGCCTGGGCTGGTCTCAAACTCCTGGGTTCAAGCAGTCCCCCTGCCACCACCTCCCAAAGTGCCGGGATTACAGGCCCGAGCAACTGCGCCCAGCTTGGAGTCATAGCCCTGACCATTGTCAACAGCCCAATCAGACACAGGCAGGCCTCTGAGTCTCTTTCCAGGTGGGTGGCATGGAGGAGGCAGCTAGATCCGTGTTTTCCAGCAGTCCCTGAACTCTCCGAAGAATTTTTCTATTCAAATTTTAATCACAATCTTAGCATTTTTAATATGGGCATTCTAGGACTTGTTTGGGTGGACACTTTACAACAAAAAGCTGTTTCTAGGCACTGTGTGCTTGGGTGTGCCTGTACGCGTGTGTTTGTGATTCACTTGTCACCATGTGGTGCTTTAATACCTGTGGTGGCAAAAGAACAGAAGCTCAACTAAGTCCACAAGAGAGGGAAGTGAGAGTTGTGCTCACAGAGGCGGTTTCCCAGACGTGCTGGGGCCCAGCGGGTCTTCACAGGCTTGTGAGGGACAGCCTCACAAACACATTACACAGAGCCTGTTAGTTCTAGCGAGTTAGTTTCCTCTGAATGAAACTAATTATTTGAGTGTTATTTGATTTATGATTTCATTTGTAATGATTTCTAAAAAAAAATTGGTTTTTTTGAGAGACAAGAGTCTTGCTCTGTTGCCCTGGCTGGAGTGCAGTGGTGTGATCTTGACTCACTGCAACCTCCGCCTCCTGAGTTCAAGTGATTCTCCTGCCTCAGCCTCCCGAGTAGCTGGGACTACAGGCACATGTGAGCATGCCCAGCTAATTTTTGTAATTTTAGTAGAGACGGGTTTCACCACATTAGCCAGGCTGGTCTTAAACTCCTGACCTCAGGTGATCCACCCGCCTCAGCCTCCCAAAGTGCTGGGATTACAGGCCTGAGCCACCACCCATGGCAGGATTTCTAAAATTATTTTGTTTTTATAGCCGTATAAAACTGTTAAGTACAGGGCATTTGTATGTAGTTTTGTGTACATATGTGTATACAGATCTAAGAACTAAACTAAATAAACTAAGAAATAAACTAAAATAAAATTAACTCTGGGGCTCTAAGAGAAATGTTTCTCTTTTGAAAGTGTACAAGAAACCAGCAAAGAGGTTACATGCTGGCCAGGTGACAACTTGTACATTTTAAACTCTGAGCCACGTGAAGTCGTTACTCATACAAAAGCTAACTAATTCACACATTTAGAAAACCTCAGTTTAAATGTTCTGACTTTCCCAAAAGCAAATGCGATAAAAACAAAGATAAATAGCCGGGACTTAATTAAACTAAACAGCTTTTGCATGGCAAAACAAACAGTTAGCAGAGTAAACAGACAACCCATAGAGTGGGAGAAAATCTTTGTAATCTATACAAAGATTATTAATATCCAGAATCTATGAGGAACTCAAACAAATTAGCAAGAAAAAAATAAATAATCCCATCAGAAATTGGGCTAAGGTCATGAATAGACAATTCTCAAAAGAAGATATACAAATGGGCACCAAACATATGAAAAAATGCTCAACATCACTAATGATCAGGGAAATGCAAATCAAAACCACAATGTGATACCACCTTACTCCTGCAAGAATGGCCAGAATCAAAAAAATCAAAAATAATAGATGTTGGTTAGATGCGGTGAAAAGGGAACACTTCTACACTGCTGGAGGGAATGTAAACTAGTACAACCACTATGGAAAACAGTGTGGAGATTCCTTAAATAACAAAAAATAGAACTATCATTTGACCTAGCAATCCCACCGCTGGGTATCTGCCCGGAGGAAAAGAAGTCATTATACGAAAAAGATACTTGCAGATGCATGTTTATAGCAGCAAAATTGGCAATTCCAAACATGTGGAAACAAACTAAATGCCCATGAATCAATGAGTGGATAAAGAAACTGTGGTATACATATACAATGGAATACTACTCAGCCATAAAAAATAATGAATTAATGGCATTCACAGCAACCTGGATAAGACTGGAGACTATTATTCTAAGGGAAGTAACTCAGGAATGGAAAACCAAGCATCGTATGTTCTCATTCATAAGTGGGAGCTAAGCTATGAGGATGCAAAGGCGTAAGAATGACACAGTGGACTTTGGGGACTCAGGGGAAAGGGTGGGAAGGGGCTGAGGGATAAAAGTTCACTAATTGGGTACAGTGTATACTGCTCGGGTGATGGGTGCACCAAAATCTCACAAATCACCACTAAAGAACCTACTTATGTAGCCAAACACCACCTGTTCCCCAATAACCTATAGAAATAAAAAAATTCTAAAAAAAAATAGTTACCAGATTTGGAGGCAGGGCAAGATTTTTCTTTTATTACCCTAGACAATTTGTAGCTTACATTTACAGAATCATTCTGTGTCTCTGACTGAGACTCTTCAGATCTGTTTTTGAGGGGAAAAAAAAGCTAGGGTCTGCTTTTGAACATGCATTATACATCTTGGTGAGACATCTAGGTGCCACTGTCTTTTTCCAATAAAATCTATGACAACAAAGTAACAGCCAAAGGCCTGTTGACTTCCTTAAAGTGGCTCGACTTACTTTTGTATACAGTAAGATTCAGGGGGCACAACAGAAAACCTAATGCTGTCTGTAGGGATTTAAGAAAAAAAAAAAAAAAAGGAAACCTAATGCTCACATTAAAAGTAAAGCAACCAAATAGTAGAAAAATTATCAAATAATGTGGTGAATCTGAGAGTAATTTCTGATGTATTAATATCTAACACTATTAAGGTTTGATCCCAAATTGAAAATATAGCTGTAAAATAAGTTAAGCAAGCTCTTCTGAATATAGAAACCATTTTACCTAGGATAATATAGATATCATTTGGCTGCTTCCCTTATATTAATTTTTAGAGTACACAGTAGCTTCCATAGAAGATGGTGGATCTCCCTTCAGAGGCTCTTAAGGGTAGGAAATGAACTAGATGATTTCTTGAGGCTTCCCCCACCCCTGTGATTTTGCAAAATAGCCAGCTCTACTCGAAGGCTAACGTGTCTCATTGCCAGGGGCTGGGGGAGGTGGGATTGGAGTGATGTCTGCTGATGGGTTTGGGGTATCTTTCCGGGGTGATGAAAATGTTCTGAAATTTGATAGTGGTGATAGTTACACAATCTGTGAATATACCCAAAACCACTGAATTATATACTTTAAAAGGGTGAAGTATATGATGTATAAATTATAGCTCATTTTTAAAAAGGTTATTATGTCTCCATTTAGCTGCTATTAAAATATAAACTTTTATTAAAAATATTCTGTTACATAAGAGGTCTGTAAGTAGTTTATCACAATAAATAATTCTGACAAATGTCGCTGTTTCTGTGGTGTATAGCCTCCTAAGCGATTCCTTTCTGAAAGTATTTTGACCAGAAATAATTCTAATTTATTAATTTGGTTTTCTTCAATGAAATTGAGAACATTTATTGGCAATTTGTAAGAATAACAAGAATTTTAGCAAATTGCAAATGTATATAACTTGCGATAAAATTAATTACCACTGGCAAAAATAAATAAATAAATGTTCTGACTTCCAGAAGCCAATGTTGGGCCCTCTCAGGGCACTTGGGTTAAATGGCCTTCTCTGGGCAACCCCATTATATAAAAGCAGGGAGGGCTGGCAGGGAGGAGGCGGGGGATGAGGTTGTAACAGAGCAGGGAGAGGGGTCCACTGGGAGGCAGCAGAGCCCTGCAGACCCAACCCAAAATAAAGAGCAGCCTAGTGGAGGCTGGATAATGTAGTGGCTGTTTAGCTTTATTTATTTATTTATTTATTTATTTATTTATTTATTTATTTATTTTAAGGTCTTGCACTGTCACCCAGGCTGGCTCACTGCAGCCTTGACTTTCTGGGCTCAAGCAGTCCTCCTGCCTCAGCCTCCTGAGTAGCTGGGACTACAGGTGTGCACCACCATGCCCAGCTATTTTATATATATATAATATACATATATATATATATATATTTTTTTTTTTTTTTTGTAGAGATGGGTTTTCACCATGTTGCCCAGGCTGGTTTCAAATTCCTGGGCTCAAGCAAGCCATCTGCCTCAGCCTCCCAAAGTGCTGGGATTACAGGCATGATTCTCCACGCCCTGCCTTTAGTTCTTGATTCTGTCACTTAACACTGATTTGGGGCAATTTGCTTCAATTCCATATGTCATTGTCATCAATGATGATGGTGGTAGTAGTGATAGTACTACCACAAATAATTTTTTAAATTATATATATGAAGCTCTTACAATTTATTTAGAACAAAATAATTGCACAAAAACATTAGGTATTATAGTAAATGTAGTGTCTTGGGTGTGGCTACACAGGTGAAATGTGCTAAGAAGGAATGTCCCTCAGGCAAGGGGGTATAGCTGAGGAGTAAACCATTTGGCTGCAGATCAAGTGGTCCCTGGTTCAAATATGGGTGCCCTCTATTCCCAAGTTTCCTTCCCTTTCCGCTATCGGGTTTTGTGGTAACGTTCCCCCTCCCATTAATGTTACTACAAATTTCAGCTGGAAAACTTACCCCTATGACACCACTAAAGGCATCTGGAGACTATAAAATTAAATGAGGTAGAAAAAAACCAAGATGTATATGCTGTGCTATCATTTGTGTTTACAGAAAAGGTAGGAGAAAATATGCACTAATAACTCCTCAGACGTACAAATTATCTATGGAAGAATATGTAAGAAACACAAGACATGGGCTTCCCCCAGTGAGTGGAGTCTTGGTAGATAAACAAGAGGGAGAATTTTCACTGCCTACTTTTTCGTTCCTTTAGAATATTGTATTGTGTGAGTTCTATGAATTCGGTATTTATTTTTAAAATATACATTTTTTATTTGTTTTTATTTTATTTATTCTTTTTTTTTAAGAGATGAGGCCTCCGCTCTGTTGCCCAGGCTGGAGTGCAATGGTGTTGATGGTGGCAGGAGGCAGACAGGTTTCTGGGTAGGAAAGGACGGGTCCCAGATGAAACCCCACCTTCAAGCCAAGGATGGACTGAAGCCTGGAGGCCAGGCTGCCAGGTCCCAGTGAAGTCCGCTACCCGGAGTGAAAAAACTTCCTTGATGCCTTTCAGCCAATCAAGTGGTGCTTCTTCCAGGCCCACCATGGACCAATTAGCATGAACTTCCTCCATTCTGAGCCCATAAAAATCCCTGGACTCAGCCAGACTCATACACTCTGGGATTACCTGCCTGTGGATAGGAGCTACCCACTTTGGGTCTCCTCTCTGCTGAGAGCTGTTCAGTCACCCAATAAAGCTCTTCTCTGCCTTGCTCACCCTCCAGTTGTCTGAGTAGCCTCATTCTTCCTGGACACAGGACAGGAACTTGGGACCCACCACACAGTGGAAGCAAAAGGAGCTGTAACACTTCGCTGGCTGGCTCACCAGGCTGTGGGCAGTGATACGCGTCTGGACTGTGGGAGTTAAGAGTGGTAACCTTTCTGAGGCCCAGACCTTGGGATTCCCCAAGCCAGAGCTGTAACACTATAGCCCTCCCGCCCTCTGTCAGCAGTGACAGGAGGCAGGGCCAGACTAGCCCAGGAGCTTCAGGCCAGAGCGGGGCGGTGGGACTGAAAGAACTGTGACACAAACTGGCTGAAATACTACCCCAAAACACCCCCAACCCCACTTGCCACACTGCAAGTGATGAGAAGGAGAGAAGAGCTGTGGGCCTCCCCAAGCCAAGACCGTGACATGCTGTAACACCCTTTGGGGCTCTGCGGTTCCTGGCATCTCCAAGCTTTTGGGCACCAATGCGTTCCCCTCGTCCAGTTGCTGGTGCCTGTGGTGGAAGGTCCAGCTGCAGCTTCACACAGAGCTGGCACCTGTGCCCGTGCCCGGAGCTGCCCACCCCACCATAGCAGCTGGTGTGCCTGGCTACGTGCACTGGCCAGACCCCATACCTGCACACTCACACACCCCTCTCTGCTCCGCACTTGGCTTGCCCATGGCAGGTGGGGGATCTGGGCTGGTAGCGTGAACTAAGCACAGCCTGCCAGACCAAGTAGGTGGAAGGAGCTCAGCGGCCACGAGCAAAACTCAAGCAGAGATGCCACTGGCCACAGAAGTTTCCCACTGGCGAAGCGATACCAAAGTCAACACTGAAGGATCCTGTGACTGTGATGAGGGCTCACTACAAAGGATCCAGTGACAGCATGGTCAGGGCTCACTGCGAAGGATCCAGTGACAGCACAATCAGGGCTCACTGTGAAGGATCCTGTGACTGTGATGAGGGCTCACTATAAAGGATCCAGTGACAGCGCGGTCAGGGCTCACTGCGAAGGATCCTGTGACAGTGAGGTCAGGGTTGACTGCAAAGGATCCTGTGACAGCAGGATCGGGGCTCACTGCGAAGGATCCCATGACAGTGAGGTCAGGGCTCACTGCGAAGCATCCTGTGACAGCGCGATCAGGGCTCACTGCCACCTCAAAGTCCTGGGCTCAAGGGACCCTCTGCCTCAGCTTGTCCAGTATCTGGCACCACAGCTACTGCCACCACACCCAGCTAATTTTTTAAAAAAAATTTTTTTTGTAGAGACTGGGGTCTTGTTTTGTTGCCCGGGCTGGTCTGAAACTCCTGGCGGCTTCAAGTAATCCTCCCACCTCAGCCTCCCAAAGTTCTTAGATAACAGGCATGAGCCACTGTGCCCAGCCTAAAATATACATTTTAAATTTTAAAATAAATCTAATTAAATCAGGTCTCACCCACCAGGACTGCTGGATCTAGATGGAAGAGACTACTGTTTTTGTGTATATTTGAAATTTTCCATAATGAGGATCTGATTTTAAGGTTCTGATTCTAAGTTTCTGAGTTAGTTTTCTATCTCATGTTAATGGAGTTCATATTGGTGTGTCTGGAGAAAACTTTCTTTCCTTACTTTTCTTAGCACCATGGAGACAGGCTGACATTTCCAATAGGAACTTTGCTGAAAAACAAGGAGAAACAAAAAAAAGAAGGCACACTCAGAACCAGTCACCTTGGTTCCCGGTTCACTAGCGTCACTAGCAACACAAGGCTAGGTGGCAAACGTCCTTAGAAACCTTAGCTGCTCTGCAGGTAGGTTCCTGCCTCAGGGATGGGCTTCCTGGTTCATCTTGCCCAGAGATTTTTAAAGCAGAAAAGTGCTTACCTCCAGTTTCTCCAAGGACCCTCCCACTTTTGTTCTGGGATGGTGATACTCCTGGAACCTGAAGATAAAGTCACTTGAATATAACATCAGCCCATGAGCGTGAAGCTAGAATCGCTTCTAGCTGAAAACCGTTTTACATTTTAAAAGGTGACTAGGCGTACTTGGAAGTTCAAAGCAGTAGGATGCACCGTGCAGGGAAAGAAAGAGGAAAGCCCTTTTCCATGTTGTTTCCAGTCGCACTGGGTGGGACTGAGGTCAGCAGAAGTGACCCAGAGAGAAGTGTTCATGTGAAGGAACAACCAAAGTGACTTCTTCAAACTGACGAAGAAATTCTTCTTCAAACAAGAATTTCCCCCATAACATCCTTTATGACTTAAGTTCAATGACAGTTTGTGTTTGGTGGTAAAGGATTTTCTCCATGGCGTAAATTAAGACCGTTGGAAAGCACCAGGCAGTGGGTGCAGTAACTATCTGAGGACTGTGCTGGTGCGTCCTATGTCCAGGGACAAGGGGCAGCGTGCCTCGTCTGTGTTAGAGAGGGGAACGGATGGGATCTGGTGCTCCTCTTCTCCTGGATTCGCATCCCCACCCAGAGCCCAGTTTTACTGAGTATTCTGCCCTAGCCTGGTTCAAAGAACTCATCCAACTGACTTTATTAAGTGGAAGTGGGGTATATTTGATATATATTTGCCTAACAACATGGAAAAGGGCTTTCCTCTTTGTTTCCCTGCACGGTGCATCCTACTGCTTTGAACTTCCAAGTATGCCTAGCCACCTTTTAAAATGTAAAACAGTTTTCAGAAAAATGAGGAGGATTGCTTTCCTTGCATGCACTTATTATCTTGACTACCTGTATTACAAGGGATTTTTATATATTCATACATTCCAAAGTCAGCAGTTCTCCTGTTGGTTCATTATTGAATGTGATGTAAAGGAAGTCTTTTGCAATTAAAATGAGATTTGCCCACATCCAAGAAAAAAATACACAAAATAAAATAAATGAAACGGCAGTCTAATTAACTGTTTCATAACCTCACAGCCTAAAGTCACGGGTGGTGAGCTGTTATTTCCCAAATATCCAAGAAGGGAAATCAGACAATAAGGAAGTGGCAGATGTTTTATCTCCCAATGCCAGGTAGGCAAAGACCCTTTGTAACCTTGTTTTAGAAAGAATTCTTGTAATATGATCATGAACTTTGGTTCTGATGTTAGACTGTCTAGGTTACTGAATGTCTCTAAGCTTTGGTTTCTTTGTTTGTAAATTGGGGATAATAACAATACCTATCTCGTTGTGAAGACAAAAGGAGGCAATTAATGGAAAGCATGTAGCGGCCGGTCATATGAAAGCCCCCATAAGACCTGTTCTGGGAAGGATGGAGAGTCATAGGGAGGTGGAGGGAAGACAGAGAACATTTGAGAAGCTGGGTCTTCATAATGGGAGATAAGAAGCGAGGTTTCACGGCCAGGCGCGGTGGCTCACGCCTGTAATCCCAGCACTTTGGGAGGCCGAGGTGGGTGGATCACCTGAGGTCAGGAGTTCAAGACCAGCCTGGCCAATATGGTGAAAACCCATCTCTACTGAAAATACAAAAATTAGCTGGGTGTGGTGGCAGGCGCCTGTTATCCCAGCTACTTGAGAAGCTGAGGCGGGACAATCATTTGAACCCAGGAGGCGGAGGTTGCAGTGAACTGAGACCACACGCCATTGCACTCTAGCCTAGGTGACAAGAGCAAAACTTCATCTCAAAAAAAAAAAAAAAAAAAAAAAAAAAAGCAAGGTTTCTGTCCCCTGTGGCTGCTGTCGCCACCTGTGGCTGCTGTCACCACCTGCCCTCTCATCCAGACAGGTAGGCCTTGTGCCTTTCACACCACAGGGAAGGAATGACGCCATAGAATGCAAATTGTCGGTGCTCATCTTTTAATTTCAGCAGTCTGGGTGCTGGGGGACTCAGGCAATAAAGATTGGCACAGAAGTAGCACTGTCCCCGCATGGCAGAGCCATATGGGCAAGGCTGGCAGGAGAAGGCACAGTGGGGAACAGCAAGGACCCCGAGGCAGCAGGAAACCAGAATATCCCACACTCACATGTGGTCAAGATGATGTGAAGAAGCAAACCCCTAACCCCACCTCCAGTGCTGTGGCACTCCTAAAGCCACTGCCGAATTTAGGGGCAACACGGGGGAAATATTGGGAGGATTTATAGATGAGTCATTAAATTTCTGTCGCCCAGCAGGACAGGACACAAAATAGAAATCAAGCTGTTCTGTAAAAGAGTAAAGTCACAGTCCTCTACTCCTCAATTTGTGGACTGAGATTTGGACACACATAGTAGATCACAGAGCCAAGACACTAGCAGTGACGACGGGTGTCCAGGTCCAGGGGACTGAATGACAGGACTCAGTGACCTGCCAAGGATGAGCAAGGAGTCAGTGAGGGTCTCAGTTCCGTGGATGTGAGATTTTGGCCTCTAGAGAGGGGACAATACTTCGGAACAAGAATCACTCATGATAATTTTCTATGACCTGAGAAAATCCCCTCAAGAGCTTTCAATTCCATTTGCTCTGATTGCAGCCTCACTAAGCAACCTTCTGATGGCTCTTAGTTTCCCAGGTAACCTGAAGAACATTCTGGCTTATTATGTATCAGTCTTTGAGAGTCTAATTAGGGCTACCTTGAGAACCTGGTCAAATTAGGTTGCATCTACAAGTTCAGGGGTCTGGTGATGCACATCTGAGGCCCAGGCTCCATACCTTCAACCGCATTGAGGTTCTGCCAGTCCAGGGTTTCTGGACGCCTTTCTGAAGCCAATTATTAGCACTCCAGTAAGGAGGAGATTGACTGCTGTAACCCAGCATGTACCTCGGTGGGGAAGGAGAGGGAGAGAGCCTATCGGAAGCACTGGAGATGGAGTTACTGTTGAGAGTCACTGTTGTGAGCCACTCTGCTGAGCTCCATTTTCACTTTTAGGAGTCAATCCTGGGGACGTCCCTCTCTGGAGCCATTTCACAGGTTTTGATGATAACATTTATTATTGTTTGCTTCCAGGTATTTTCATTTTTCATTGCAATTTTTTCTTTGACCCATGGTTAATTCAGAAGTCTTTCAACTGTTGTCAAAGCATACATGATTATTTAGAAGTTACTTGTTACAAATTTCTGCCTTTACTACATTTTGTCAGAGAATGAGGTTTGTATTATACTAATTCTTTATAATGTGCTAAAATTAGACTTGTAATATGGTCAATTTCTATAAATGTTCTATTTGTGCTTGAAAAATGTGCATTCATTATTGTTTTTGTTTTTGTTTTTTGAGACGAAGTTTTGCTTTTTTTGTCTAGGCTGGAGTGCAATGGCACAATCTTGGTTCACTGCAACCTCTGCCTCCCAGGTTCAAGTGATTCTCATGCCTCAGCCTTCTAAGTAGCTGAGATAACAGGCGCCCGCCACCACGCCCATCTAATTTTGCATTTTTAATAGAGACAGGGTTTCGCCATAGTGGCCAGGCTGGTCTCGAACTCCTGACCTCAAGTGATCCACCCGTCTTGGCCTCCCAAAGTGCTGGGATTACAGGCGTGAGCCACCGCACCTGGTCAATTTATTGTTAAAGCAAGTATTTGGCTTCACCTTGTTTTGTTAATGCCCAAATACCTGCATGATTATCAATTTAAAAATAAATAATTATTGTATTATTAGTCTTCTGCTCAATTAATGTTTGTTACATTAGCCAGATTCTTAAATTTCTTTTCTAATTCTCTTATTTCCTATCATTCATTCCTTCTGTATACAGTTGTCTTCTTCCTGAAAAAATATCCTTTAAAACTTACTTTAGATCGGGCACAGTGGCTCACGCATATAATCCTAGCACTTTGGTTGACTGAGGCAGGAGGATCACTTGAGCCCAGGAGTTTGAGACCAGTCTGGACAACATGGTGAAACTGTCTCTACAAAAAATACCAAAAAAAAAAAAAAAAGAAAGAAAGAAAAAATTAGCTGGGCATGATGACACACCCTTGTAGTCCCAGCTACTTGAGAGGCTGAGGTGGGAGGATCTCTTAAGGACCTCCCCACTGGGAGGTCAAGGCTGCAGTGAGCCACGATCATGCCACTGCACTCTAGCCTGAGCAACAGAGTGAGATCCTGTCTCAAAAGACAATAAAATTTACTTTAGTGAGAGTTTGCTGATGGCAAATTCTCTCAGTTTTTATCAGTGAAAGGTTCTCATCTTTTCATTGTTATTGAACAGGGGTTTAGCTGGTATCGTAGTCAGGGTTCTTCAGAGAAACAGGACCAATTGGATGTGGGTGGATATATGGGTAGATAGATAGACATAGATTGATTGATACAGATAGATAGATCTGTATCGGTAGACAGAGAAATATAGCTCTATCATCTATCTATCTATCATCTATCTATATGGAGATTAATTTTAAGGAGTTGATTCATGAAATTATGGAGGCTGGCAAGTCCCACGATTTTCCGTATGGGAATCAGGGAATAAGAATCCGAGTAGAGGAGGGGCAGGGAGTGCTAATAGCAGGACAACAGCAACTGCAGAGAGAAGACGGTCAGGCCGGTGAGGGAAGGGAGGAGAACGGGTGTCCCGGACAGGTTCTTCTTGCAGTCCTACTCGATCCCAGAGGAGGCAGGACGAGGCCTTGAGCTCCCTGGCCAGTGTCCCGGGCCTGAGGCAAGGTGAGAGCTATGGTTACGGGGAGCTCTGCAGGCCTTGCTCTCACAGCCCTCGCCCCAGGGACAGCAAAGCAGCAGCTGGAGGGAGGTGGACCCGGAGAGACACTCCATAAAAGGGAGCGGCACCTGGGCAGGAGGGTGATGCTGGTGACGTGTAGGAGTGAATCCGTGAGTGAGTCGTGGCGGTGGGGCGCCAGCACCAGTTCCCCGAAAGTGAGAGCCCGGGAACAGCCAGAGATCAGAAGAGGCGTGGGACTGCAGCCTTGAAAGGCGCTAATGAGAGGAGCCTGCCACTGTAGAGGGTATAGCTTGGTGGAAGAGCCTCTGCCTACACGCCAAGAGGTTCCTGCTTCAAGTCCAGGTGTCTCCTATGGTTTACGTTTTTATCCAGCAAGAGTATTTTGTTTTCTTCCTCTCCCACCCCTCAAAAGCCAGCCTGTAAGGCTGTAATGTCTTATTTGTCTGTGACAAAGAAATAGAATGCAGCAGACAAGCTTTGCTAGCCTCACAATGACTTTTCTAGCAGGTTCTCTCTGTTTCTGCAGAAACCCTGTGGTACGTTTGAGTAGGTTTGAATCCTGATTCTGCCTCCTGCCATCTGTGTCATTGTTAGCAAGTCACTGAGTCTCAGAATCCTCACAACCAGGACAACTGGGGTCCCGGCAAGGAGACCACGTGTGGACAAACCTGTACGTTATGCCCAGGAGCTCAACTCCGGCTGGTTTGTGCTGCAACATCGCCGAGGACTCCACCCAACTTATAAGCGGGACTTGCTCCATCTGCTCCCTCTGGCCTCTCACTTGCCACTCTGGTTGCTGCCTGGGCCCCACCCGCCTGCCTTGGCTACTTCCATTTCTGCTTGTGGACAGAGGGCAATGCATCCAGGAAACGTCCCAATGTGGAAATGCGGCTCTCACCGCCCCTGATACAAACTAAACACATTCTTTCCAGAAAGCCTCCCTTCCCCCTGGACACAATGACCTAAGGGGAACAAATAGCCAACCCAGACTCCTGGCTCCTGCGGTGACTGGCCAGAGACTCCCACATCCTTTCCCACACCCTGTGCAGCCCACCCCCACCACCCCTCATCCAGCATCCTCCAGAGAGAGGGGAAGAGAGAGGAGGGGGAGCCTGGAACTTTGTATTCCATATGTACATGGGTGGAGGCAAATCGGTGCATCGTGGAGAGATAGTCCCACTCCACTAGCAAAAGCCTTCCTCCAGATATCAGTGCAAACTCCTCAGGGCAATCACTGGTACAAAATCATCTCTAGCGCAAAGTCATATTTCTTTTCTTCCCATTCCCCTCATTTTCTGATCCCAATTTCATCTGCAGCTGGGATCTATTTAAATTTCTAACTTCCAGGCATATCTAACTTTTTGTCTTTGGTGGGAAGAAGACTGACTACATAGAATAATAATCATGAAATAATTTATTTCTTAAAATAAATTTTAAAAATAAAAATAAAAATTATTAATAGTAAGAACATTGCAAGCCCTCAAGGCTTCCAAGCTGGGGTCCTCTGTGTATTTCACCTCCCTGCTTCCAACTCACCTCACCTTTCAGTCCAAAAAGTTACCAAATCCACTCTGTTGCCCAGACTGGAGTGCACAGGCCTGATTATAGCTCATTGCAGCCTCAAACTCTTAGGCTCAAGTAATACTTCCAACTCAGCCTCCTGAGCAGCTGAGACTACAGGTGTGTACCACTACGCCAGGCTGATTTTTAAATTTTCTGTGGAGATGGGGTCTCACTACGATGCCCCAGCCTGGTCTTGAACTCCTGGGCTAAAGTGAGCCTTCCACTTCGGCCTTCCAAAGTGCTGGGATTGCAGGCATGAGCCACTGCACCCAGCCCAAATCTTATAGATTTTTATTCCAAATTTTCGTCCACTGTCTCTACCCAAACTGCCACAGCTTCATGTACTCTTGCCTGAATCACTGTGACTCTAAAGTCACATCCCTGTAACTCCTTCCACTGGATTCTCCTGTCCAATGTGATCACACTGTGAGATTCCTGAACAATCTGAGCAGATTATTTTCATCTCCTGAATAAAACCGTTTGTGGATCCTCAGTGTTCACAGGACAAAATATAAACTTCATCCCATGGAACTCATGGCCCATGGCAATTTAGACTTTGCTGCCTTCTCCAGCCATCATGCCCTCAATGCCTCCCATGGCCCACACTACCCTTCTCACTGCTCCCCTGACACATGTGATTCCTTGCCCAGCCTTTGTTTATACTGCATCCTCTACCTCAAATGCCCTTCCCTACTCGTCTTCTTCACCTGGTATTTTGATTAGTTAATGCTGCAAAACAAATCACAGCAAATCTTAGAGCTTCAAACAACACTAAACATGTCTTACTTCCATAGTTTCTATTGGCCAGAAATTCAAGATGGACACTACTGAGCAGTTCTCATTTAGAGGTCTCTCCTTGCAGTTATAGTTGTATGTCAGCTGGAGCTGTGTCATCTGAAGGCTTGACTGGGGCTGGAGGGCCTACTTTCAAGGTGGCTCTCTCCCATGGCTGGCAAGATGATGCAGATTATGAGCTGAGGGCCTCAGTCCCTCTCCACATCAGCCTCCACAGGGTTGCTTGAGCATCCTCACAGCATGGAGGTTGGCTTCCCCTAAGAGTGATAAATCTAAAAGACCAAGGTGGAAGCTGCCATGCTTTTATTGTCTAGCTTCAAAAGTCACACACTGTCACTTCCATGGTCTTTTGTTCCTCTCTTTGTATCAAGTACTTTCTGACCTTCAGTCAAATGCTCTACCTCCGGGCCATCCTTTTGACCTGCTGTGACTTCACAACTGCCACCTTTCACTTGTAAGGACATGCCTAGGACTTCAAGCTTGCTTTCAGGAGCTGGCAACACCAATTCTAAATAGTGGTCTTCCTTACTGCCATGAACCATCCCTTTCTTGTCTTCACAACATTTCTGCCTATGCTTCCTCAGTCCCAAGGCAAAACATGCATAAATAGCCTTGTTGAAATTTAAGAATGGAAAGGCCAATCAACCCTCCTTGGTTAAACTCAACTGACATTTTTTTTGAGCATCTATTGAGTGCCAAGGCTCCAGACATATGCAGATGAGGAATATTTGAACATTCCTCCTGCCTAAGACATGCTCAGAGCCAGATGGAAATAATGACAACGTAGTAATACGTGCTAGAATTGCAAACAAAATCTTAAATTAAGGAAAAAAAAAAAAACAGAAAAGAGAAAAAGCAACTCAATCCGGGGCCAGTGAAAGGGAGAAAAGTCTTCAAAAAACATACCCAGTTTGGCGGCTCATGCCTGTAATCCCAGCATTTTGGGAAGCTGAGGTGGGAGGATCACTTGAGGCCAGGAGTTCAAGACCAGCCTGGCCAATATAGTGAAATCCCAGCTCTACTAAAAATACACAAATTAGCTGGGCATGGTGGTGTGTACCTGTAATCCCAGCTACTCAGGGGGCTGAGGTACGAGAATCGCTTAAACCCAGGAGATGGAAGTTGCAGTGAGCTGAGATCGTGCCACTACACTCCAGCCTGGGTAACAGAGCAAGACTTCATCTCAAACAAACAAAAAACAAACAAAAAAACCCAGCTGATAGGTCACCTCTACAGCGAGAGATGAATGCTTGTCCAGACAGTGGGGTTGGGAAGTGCGTTGGATGGCACATTAGAAGACGTGCTAGACCACAGAGAGCACTCGGTGGCCGGAGGGCGCATGTTTGCCTGTGAGGGTCTGTGGGGTGGTGGTATGGAGGATGAGGACAGGGAGCAAGGAACAGGGAGGGGTGGGAGAGAGAGGTGATCACGATGGAAAAGTAGATCGATACAGGTTGTGGGGAGCCTTGTATATCGACTGTGCTTGGAAGCTTTGACATTTTCGACATCTTGGAGTTCACTGAGGATTTGAAGCAAAGGAACCACAGGTTTGTATTTGTTTTGCAAGCAGATGGTGTCAGCAGGCAGAGGCCATGTGGGAAGAGTGGGGAGACGAGGGCGACTTACTAATGTTTGTTGTATTGTTGACGCTGCTGTTGCTGCTGTTTGTGAGGTTGGGGGTGGGGTTTTAACTTTTTTCCTTATAAACTGTTTTATTTATTTTAACTGAAAGTATAAGATATGGCCCTGGGAATACTGCCTTCCAGAGAGGTGGGGTCCTAGCAGCAGCTTCAGGGATGCTTTGGCCCCCAAGATCCTGTGCTGCTGTTGCAGTGCCTGAGCAGGACCTGGAAGTGCCTGGACAGGATCTGGCAGCACCTGGTCAGGACCTGGGCAGCATCTGGGCAAGATCTGGCAGCACCTGGGCAGGACCTGGCAGCACCTGGGCAGGATCTGGCGGCACCTGGGCAATACCTGGGCAGAACCTGGGCAGCATCTGGGTAGCAACTGACAGGATCTGGCAGTACCCGGACAGGACCTGGTGGCACCTGGATAGCACCTGGGCAGTACCTGCCACCACCACAGGCCCACAGCAGGACGATTCAGCTGATGAGGTCACAGTCATTGCTACAGTCTCTGACCCGGATGGTTTCTTTTCATGGCTAGTTTTTTCCTCTTACTTTGGAAAATTAAAGCATAACACAGAGAAGAGTGCACAAAGCCTCATGTACAGCTCAATGAATTAAAACAAAGCGAACATGCCTGGTAACCACTGCACCAGCTGAGAAAATAACACAGCAGAAACTCAGAAACCACCTGCAGGACCCTCCTAAGCATTGGCCTCTCCTCCCCAAAAGAACCAAACTATTCTGACTTCTCTTGCCATGCATTAATTTTGCCTGTTCATGTACTTTGTTTAAATGGAACCATAAAATATATGTTCCTCTTTGTCTAGCTTTTTTCTCTCAATATTCTATTTGTGAGTGCTATGGTGTAAATGTCTGTGTTCCCCCAAATTCTAATCCCCACAGTGATGGTATTAGAAGGTGAGGCCTTTGGAAAGTGATTAGGTCACGAGGGTGAAGCCCTTATGAATGGAATTAGTGTCCCTATAAAAGTGGCTGGAGAGAGAACCCTCACCCCTTCCACTCTGTGAGCATACAGCAAGAATGCACCATCTATGAGCCAGATATAGAGCTCTAACCAGTTATTGCATCTGCCTTGATGTTGGACTTCCCAGCTTCCAGAGCTGTGAGAAATAAATTTCTATTGTTTATAAACTCTCCAGTTTATGGTATTTTGTTATAGGGGCTGGAATGGACTAAGAGAGTGAGATTCATTCATGTTATTGCATGAAGCTATAGCACATTCATTTTAATGCTGCATAAGATTATCTTGGGCTAATAGTACAATGTATTTATCCATTCTATTCTTTATAAACATTTGGGTTATTTTCCATTTGAATCTATTATGAATGAAGCTGCTATGAATATTCATGTATGTGTCTTTCAGTGCACATTTCTTTTGAGCATATACCTAGGGGAGGATTTTCTCATTCATATGGTGTCTGTATCTTCAACTCTAGTGGATAATGTCAACTTTAGTGGATAAAGTTGTTGTGCAAGTTTACACTCACATCAGCAGTGTATGTTTTTCCATTACACCATCTGGTTACCAACACAATTATTGTTAGTATTTTTCTATTTTAATTTAGGCATCCCAGTGGGTGTGTAGGGTATCTTGTGATTTTATTTTGCATTTTGCTAATTATGACTAGATTGGACCATTTGTCATGTGTTTGTTAATAACCTTTCTTTGCATAATCTTGTTGAGGTCTATTGCCCATTTTTGTACTGGGTTCATAGGATTTCTTTATACATTCTGAATAAAATCTCTTGTCAGTTATATGTGTGCAAATATCTTCTCCTTCTCTATAACTTGCCTTTCAACTTTTTGTTTGTTTGTTTGTTTTTAAGAGAGCATCTCACTCTGTTGCCCAGGCTGGAATGCAGTGGTGTTATCATGGCTCACTGCAGCCTCCACCTCCTGGGCTCAAGTGAACCTTCCACCTCAGCATCTCAAGTAACACAGGCACATGCCACCATGCCCAGCTAATTTTTTAAATTTTGTATAGAGATGAGGTCTTGCCGTGTTGCACAAGCTGGTCTGCAATGCCTGGATTTAAGCAATCCTCATGCTTCAGCCTCTCAAAGTGCTGGGATTATAGGCATGAGCCACCACACCTGGCCCCTTTCAACTTTTTAATGGCAACTTTTCATAAACAAGCATTTCTAATTTTAATATAGTCTTATTAGTCTTTTTCTTTTGTGGTTCTTCTTAAGGTCTGCTTAAGAAATCTTGGCCGGGCGCGGTGGCTCACGCCTGTCATCCCAGCACTTTGGGAGGCCGAGGCGGGCGGATCATGGGGTCAGGAGATCAAGACCATCCTGGCTAACATGGTGAAACCCCGTCTCTACTAAAAATACAAAAAATTAGCCGGGCTTGGTGGCAGGCGCCTGTAGTCCCAGCTACTCGGGAGGCTGAGGCAGGAGAATGGCATGAACCTGGGAGGCGGAGCTTGCAGTGAGCCGAGATCACGCCACTGCACTCCAGCCTGGGCGACAGAGCAAGACTCCATCTCAAAAAAAAAAAAAAAAAAAAAAAAGAAATCTTTATTTCAAGAGCAGAAGAGAGTCTCTTCTGTTGCCCACTAGAAACTTAATTATTTCACCTTTTCTCTTTGGATCTGTAATTCACCCAGAATTGATTTTGTGTTTGGTACAAGATAGGGGTCTTTCATTTTTTCTATAGTGATGTCTAATGGACTCAGAAGCTTTATTGACAAAGCCATCCTTTCTGAGCTGCTCGGGAACACCACTGCCACTTTTGTCATAAATCAAGAATCTATAAGTGTGTGAGTCGATTTCTGGATTCCTTTGGATTTCAGTTCCCTTAGTTTGCTTGTTCTTCCTTGTGCAAATATATCATCTTAATCACGATAACTTGCTAACAATGTTTTTTAACAATATCTTTATATGTAAGAGCAATTCATCTTATTTTGTTCTTGAACATTAGCTTGGCTATTCCTGGCCTTTTGCATTTTCAATGTTAATGTTAGAATCGGCTTGTTAATCTCTTCTCTCCATCCACCATGAAAAACTGCAGTAATTTTGATTTAGATTGAGTTGAATCTATATACACATTAGTATCTTTATGCTGTGGGTGTTCTAGTCCATGAAGATGATATATTCCTTCATTTATTTATTTCTCTCAGAAATTTATCTCTGTAATATTTTATCACTTTCTGTGTAGAGAGAGTATTATTTTCTCTGTAAATATATTCATTAGATTTATCCCTAGGTATTTGGTATTTTTGATGCTGTTATTTTTAAAGACTTCATTTTCCCACTACTTATAAGTCACAAACTTGCTAAACTCATATATCAATTCTAATGATTTATCTGTATATCCTTTTGGATTGTCTAGGAACTCTGGCACACCTGCTGTGAATAAGAACAGATTAATTTCTTACTTTATAATACATATACTTTTATTTTACTTGTCTTATTTCAGTTATTATGAATTTCATAAAAATGTGAATAGAAGTGTTGATAGGAATCATGCTTGTCTATTCTCAAACTCAGAGAGAAAGTGAGCAAGACAGGGTCTTGCTACCACCCAGGCTGGAGTACAGTGGCACCATCATACTTACTGCAGCTCAAACTACTGGGCTCAAGTGATCCTCCCACCTCAGCCTCCTAAGTAGCTGAAACCACAGTTGTGCACCACTTCACCTGGCTAATTTTTTGTTGTTGTTAAAAATTAAAATCTCACTGCGTTGCCCAGGCTGTTCTCCCACCTCAGCCTCCAAAGTGCTGGGTTTGCAGGTTCATTGAGCCACCATGTCGAGTTGAGAGATATTTTTAGACGGTGTCTCACTCTGTCACCCAGGCTGGGATGCAGTGGCACGATCTCGGCTCACTGCAACCTCTGCCTCCTGGGTTCCAGCGATTCTCCTGCCTCAGCCTCCCAAGTAGCTGGGATTACAGGCGTGTGCCAACATGCCTGGCTAATTTTTTTGTATTTTTAGTAGAGACAGGGTTTCACCATGTTGGCCAGGCTGGTCTTGAACTCCTGACCTCAGGTGATCTGCCTGTCTTGGCCTCCCAAAGTGCTGGGATTACAGGTGTGAGCCACCGTGCCTGGCCCCTTTCTATTTTTAAATTGAGATTTTTATTGTTATTTTATTACAATGTTTGATTTTAAAAATCATAAATAGATGTTGAATATTATCAAGGCTTTCTTCTGTATCTACTGAGATTATCATATGATTTTTTTTCTTTACTCTGTTAATGTGGTGGGGTGAACATTACCTTGATAGATTTACAAATGTTAAGTCAACATTTCTGGAGTAAACTCAATTGATCAGAATGTATTATCTTGTTTATGATTTGCTGAATTGCTAGTACTTTTTGAGAATTTTTTCATCTACATTCATAAGTGATATTGGCCTGTAATTATCCTTTTTTACAATGCTCTGGTCAGATTTAGGTTATTAAGGTTATGTTAGCCTCATAAACTAAGTTGAGAAATTCTCCCTTTATTCGTATTCTTTGAAAGGCTATGTATAACAGAGGCATTGTTTCTTCTAAAATGTTTGGTTAGATTCATGGGTGAAGCCATCTGAGTCTAGAGTTTTCTTTGGGAAAGGTTTTAAATTATGGATTTAATTCCTTTAATAGTCATAGGAGAATTCCAGCTTTCTATTTCTGCATATGTAAGTTTTGTAAATTTGTGTTTTCTATAATTTACCATTTTATCTACATTTTCAATTTTTTAGTGTAAAGTTGTTTATCACATTTTAACTTTGAATTTCCATCTGATCTGTGTTACCTCTAGTAATGTTCCCTTTTAAATTCCTAGTAGTAGGTATTTTTGCATTCTATTTTCTTCGTCTTAAAAGTCTTGCCAGAGATTTCTGTCCTTCATGGATCTTTTCAGGGAACCAACTTTTGGCTTCATTGATCTCCTCTATTGTACTTTGCTTCCTAGTTCATTTTTGTTACTCCTCTTTTTTAATAGTTATCCTAGAGAGCATAGCATGCATGCTGAGCATGTCAAAATTTAATACTGATGGTACATTGACCCTCTCTCCATGAAACTGCAAGAACCTTAAAACACTTTAAGTCCATTTATTCTCACCTTATGTAATGTTGCTGTGTGTTGTAATTATCTATATATTTTAAACTATGTTAGATATTATCATTGTGTTATACTATTAATATTTATTTACATTACACACCTATTTATTCTTTTAGAAGGAGTCTCGCTGTATCACCCAAGCTGGAGTGCAGTGGTGTGATCTCGGCTCACTGCAACCTCTGTCTCCCGGGTTCAAGTGATTCTCGTGCCTCAGTCTTCCAAGTAGTTAGGATTACAGGTGCCCGCCACCATGCCTGGCTAATTTTTGTATTTTTAGTAGAGACAGAGCTTCACCATGTTGTCCAGGCTGGTCTCGAACTCCTGACCTCAAGTGATCTACCCACCTTGGCCTCCCAACGTGCTGGGATTACAGGCGTGAGCTACTGCACCTGGCCAACACACCTGTTTATTCTTGTTATTGTTTTTCTTCCCTTGCATATCCAACATTCCATTCATCTTTTCTGCCTGAATAATACTCTAATATTTCCTTTAGGGAGGTTAGCTGATAAATATTGTGTTTTTCTTTGCTCAGAAAAAATCTTTATGTCATTTTCAGAGTAGGGATACAGGCTATTCCGAGAGGTATATCTTCAAGAAAAACAAAATCAGAAGATTAACTGATGTGTTTTACTGTGTTAGAGGAGATTTTTACTGAAAGGACAAAGAGAATCGGAATTAAATTAACAGAAAAATGTCATCCCAGTTCGGGAGGGATGACTGATTTCACAGACCTGAGGATGCTGAAAGCTAAATATCTTCAGTGACAGAACCCAGAGAAGCAATCTGCCTCCCAAGGTGACCCTAACCCCAGAAGGGCTCAGGAATTGGAGGCACTAGAGCCCAGCAGGTGGACCTTTGTCATGGAGCTGGAAACAGAAGCCCCAGTTGAAATTCTGTTTCCAAAGCAGAAAGACTCCAAATCCTTTCTGCCATGGAGTAATCCAGATGAGAGAGAGGTTTACCCCTTGAGAGGCTGATCCAGAGGAAGTCCAGACTTAGGAGTATCTGTGATGGTTGCTCAATGAGAAATAGTGGAATTCACTCATCCATTCAGAAAGCATTTGTTGAATGGATACAGTGTACATGGCACAGTAACACAGCTACAGTGCCAGACAAGACAAAGTCCCTGCCCATTCTAGAGAGGACTAAGGAGAAGCCTACATGCTAAACTGTGAGGCTTTCTCCATCCCTTTCCCCTGTTCTGTGACCCCAGCTCACTCGTAGCCAATTACACTTTCTGGCTGGAGATGAGCGATACCATTTGGAGTCCTTACCCTTTGCATGTGATCTGCAAAATCAAATTTTTCTGGATCTCCCTACTATGAAGCCATCAGCCAACAAGCGCCACCCATACTCAGAGAACCCAATCAGCATCAGTCACCTCACTCTTGATTTACAAATGAGTAATTAAAGATCCACAGACTTTGGAGGCAACATCTCTAACATAAAAAACATAGATGAAAGCAAACAGAAAAAGAAAAAGAGACAATACCAGGAGCAGAAGAAAACTTAAAACTTTGGGAGGCCTAGGCGGGCGGATCATGAGGTCAGGAGTTTGAGACCAGCCTGACCAACATGTTGAAACCTCCTCTCTATTAAAAATACAAAAATTAGCCGGGTGTGGTGGTGCGTGCCTGTAATCCCAGCTACTTAGGAGGCTGAGGCAGGAGAATCACTTGAACCCGGGAGGCAGGGATTGCAGTGAGCCAAGATCACGCCACTGCACTCCAGCCTGGGCGACAGAGCAAGATTCTGTCTCAAAAATAAAAACGAAAACTATATGTGTGTGTCATTGCTATCCTTAGGGAGAAAAGGACAGTTTTGCATGCACGAAAAGGGAACACAGTATAAAACCAAAAAGAACTTCAAAGAATAAGAAAAAGGGCCTGAATATTCAAAATATGATCCAAGAAATTAAAAATTCAGTAGAAGGATTGAAAGAAAACTCATCCTGACAGTAGAATAAAAAAGATAGTGATAAAGACAATAGGAGAAAACAGATTTAAAAATCTGTTGGAGGATTGATTTAGAAAGTCCAACTTTCAATGTCCAAGAAGGAAGAATTCAGAAGACAGAGAGGAGAAAATTTCCCAGAGCAAAAGCAGTGAGTTTATAGACAGAGAGGGCCCATCAAGCGCCCAACACCAAGACTCTCACCAAGGGACTACATTGTGAAATTGCAGGCTTTTCATGGCTTCCTGTGGAGGTGGGGCGTGGCAGGGGTAGGACAGGGTCGAAGCATAGGGAATTAAAATCGCATTGGAATTCTCAACAGTAACATTGAAAGTTAGGGGCTGGGCGTGGTGGCTCACGCCTGTAATCCCAGCACTTTGGGAGGCTGAGGCGGGCGGATCACGAGGTCAGGAGATCGAGACCATCCTGGCTAACACGGTGAAACCCCGTCTCTACTAAAAATACAAAAATTGGCTGGGCGTGGTGGCGAGGGTTCCTGTAGTCCCAGCTACTTAGAAGGCTGAGGCAGGAGAATGGCATGAACCTGGGAGGCGGAGCTTGCAGTGAGCCTAGATAGCACCACTGCTCTCCAGCCTGGGTAACAGAGCGAAACTCCGTCTCAAAAGAAAAAAAAAAAAATACAAAAAATTAGCTGGGTTACTGTGCCATGTACACTGTATCCATTCAACAAATGCTTTCTGAATGGATGAGTGAATTCCACTATTTCTCGTTGAGCAACCATCACAGATACTCCTAAGTCTGGACTTCCTCTGGATCAGCCTCTCAAGGGGTAAACCTCTCTCTCATCTGGATTACTCCATGGCAGAAAGGATTTGGAGTCTTTCTGCTTTGGAAACAGAATTTCAACTGGGGCTTCTGTTTCCAGCTCCATGACAAAGGTCCACCTGCTGGGCTCTAGTGCCTCCAATTCCTGAGCCCTTCTGGGGTTAGCGTCACCTTGGGAGGCAGATTGCTTCTCTGGGTTCTGTCACTGAAGATATTTAGCTTTCAGCATCCTCAGGTCTGTGAAATCAGTCATCCCTCCCGAACTGGGATGACATTTTCTGTTCATTGAATTCCGATTCTTTGTCCTTTCAGTAAAAATCTCCTCTAACACAGTAAAACACATCAGCTAATCTTCTGATTTTGTTTTTTCTTGAAGATATACCTCTCGGAATAGCCTGTATCCCTACTCTGAGAATGACATAAAGATTTTTTTGAGCATCAAAAACACAATATTTATCAGCTAACCTCCCTAAAGGAAATATTAGAGTATTATTCAGGCAGAAAAAATGAATGGAATGTTGGATATGCAAGGGAAGAAAAACAACAACAAGAATAAACAGGTGTGTTGGCCAGGTGCAGTAGCTCACACCTGTAATCCCAGCACGTTGGGAGGCCAAGGTGGGTGGATCACTTGAGGTCAGGAGTTCGAGACCAGCCTGGCCAACATGGTGAAACTATGTCTCTACTAAAAATACAAAAATTAGCCAGGCATGGTGGCGGGCACCTGTAATCCTAACTACTTGAAAGACTGAGGCACGAGAATCACTTGAACCCGGGAGACGGAGGTTGCAGTGAGCCGAGATCGCCCTGCTGCACTCCAGCTTGGGTGACAGAGTGAGACTCCGTCTAAAAAAAAAAAAAAGTTAAGAAACAAGGGGGCAAAGCTTTTGAATATTGTGCAGAAAAATTATTACCAACTGTGGGAATGAAATTCCCAGACTAACGACCAACTGAGTATGATGTTAGAAGAAGGTGCTTTCAGAAACCTAAAGTCCGGGGAAGCTGCTGGAGGATGCACTTCATCAAAAGAATGCAACAGACCATCAAAGGCAGGGAGGACTGGTGACTTCCCAGGCTGGTGGGGAAGAGAGGTCCCCAAGTAGTAGCTGGCAGCAGGCCCAGAGTGCATGGAACAATTCAGAGCGATTAGGGAGGCATGTCTCCGAGAAAAAAAAAAAAAAAAAAACACTCCACCAGTAAATAGAGATTCATTCCTCTTTCAGAAATATCGGGATGATTAATGAAGTTTGCAGAAAACTTAGCAAAAAGGTCACCATAAATTCCCAGGAAAACAAAGAGCTGTATGAGAGAAAATCTAATCAGAGGACACTATAAAGCCCAGCTGTTAAAAAAATATTTGTATGATCATACTAATATAAATACTGAATATTGAGTTGAGAGACTAGAGGGAGAGAAAATGTGTGCGTGTGTGCATGCATGTGTGTTTGTATATGTGTGAGTGTGTGCACACGTGTGTGTTTGTGTATGTGGGTGTGTGTGTAGATTGTGGGAAAGAAAGAGGCTTATACAAGAGTTAAATTATTGTCTTCCATCAGAGGAAGTTAGATAAAATTTCAAACTGAAAAAATGAAGAAATAACAGTATAAGCCTGTTCTTCAGACCAATGGAAGTACCCACGGGGGAACGCTAAGAGTTTAAACTGGTTGCCTTGCCTTCGGGGAGCAGGGATTGTATGCAGACAGGTGACATGGGGCCGCCACCTGGTTTTTGTTGTAAGTTTTTTTTTTGTTTTTTTTTTTTGAGACGGAGTCTCGCTGTCGCCCAGGCTGGAGTGCAGTGGCGCGATCTCGGCTCACTGCCGGCTCCGCTCCCCGGGTTCACGCCATTCTCCTGCCTCAGCCTCCCGAGTAGCTGGGACTACAGGCGCCCGCCACCTCGCCCGGCTAATTTTTTGTATTTTTAGTAGAGACGGGGTTTCACCGAGTTAGCCAGGATGGTCTTGATCTCCTGACCTCGTGATCTGCCTGCCTTGGCCTCCCAAAGTGCTGGGATTACAGGCGTGAGCCACCGCACCCGGCCTGTTATAAGCTTTATGAGCTTTTTTCTTTTGTTATTGTGGTGAAATATACATAACATAAAATTGATTATTTTAACTCTTTTTAAGTGTATGGTTCAGTTGTGTTAAGCACATTCACATCGTCATGCAACCAACACCACCATCCATCTCTAGACATTTTTCATTTTCCCAAACAGACACTGTCTGTATTAAACACTAACTCCCCATTTTAACCTCCCCCCACAGCCCTGGCAACCTACATTCTACATTTGGTCTCTGTGAATTTGACTGGGCATCTCATATGAGTGGAATCATCCAGTATTTGGCTTATTCCACTTAGCATAATGCCCTCAAAGTTCATCCATGTTGTAGCATGTGTCAGACTGTCCTTCCCTTTCAAAGCTGAGTAATATTCCACAAACTTTTTAAGCCACACAAATTGTTTTGATACAGAACAATTTTTTAAAAAATTTTTGTGTATACATCATTTAAGAATGGGAAGAAAGAGAAGAAGCCATGTATGTCTGGCTAGATTTGGGAGAATTAAAAGAAAGGTCCAAGACATTGTACATTTATCTGTCAGTCATTACAGAAGGGGTGCTTCAGCATATTTTCACCATTGACTGGACACACACCAAGAAGAGGATCATTGATACAATTGGGCCATGGAAAGCTCAGGGTTTGGATAGGTGAGGACAGAGTGACCCTGGGAAGAGTGGGAAGTTGGGTAAGTCAAAGACAGAGCTTCTAGAGTCTCTGTGAACTATGAGGCAGGGAGCAGGGTCCGTGTTGAGAGAATCTGGGAGTGGCTTAGCAAAGCCAAATTCAGGATTGGACCAAAGGAGCTGGATGGACTTGGGGGTCATTTATGGGACTATGGGGTGGCCTGGAGAGCTCCAAGCCTCACTGTGGAGTCTGCCTCTCTGGATGCCACAGCACAAGGGGCCCCAGATGTGCACACGTGCCCTGGTCAGTGCTGGGAAGTGTAGTTAGGGGTTATTACCTCATCCCACCCTGTCTTCATCACTCCTTCACACAGAAGTTTACTACCAAGCCCCTACCCTCATCTTCAACCCCCACACATGAGCTTACACCTGGCCCCACTTTCACCCCTCCCCATGAGCACAGACAATTTTCGCAAGTAGGACAGACTCCCTGCAACACATGGAAGAGAACTCATACAGGGGATAAGAAGGTCTTTCCTTCTCTCATTTTCCAGATGAGAAAGCCAAGACTTGGGAATATCCTGCAGCTTTGTTGAGGCACAAACCACTGAGGGGCGGAGCAGGCCCATTCCTTGCAGTGGGGGTCTTTCAACCACATTCAACTCTCCTCTCAGCAGCACACAGGCAAACGTTCTCCCAGGATGAACACCTTTACAAAAGCATGTGCTAGACAGATGATGGTGAATCTTCACTGCTCCCTCTCTGGGAGGGTGGTCACCATTTCCTCAAGACTCTGGGGCCACCCCTCCTGTGTCCTTATTTGCACCAAGCGAAGAGGGGAAAATGTCCTCTGTATTCAGTGCAGTATTACTTGGTGGTTAAGATCACTGGCCTTGACTTTGCAGGGCCCCAGGCTCCAAGGCAGACTCTCCATTTATTAGCTGGCAGCCTTAAACAAGTTATCTAACCTCTCCAAGCCCCAGCATCTTCATCTGTAAGCACCGAAAAGAGAAATTACCACTTACGATGGCTGGGTGGGTTGTGTAAGGGATGCGTGGACAGTGTCCAGCTCAGAGCCTGGCCTGTCATCAGCGCTTGCTACACACTGGGCGTGACTGGCCGTGACTTAGGACAAGACATGCAGCCTCTAGACCCCACATGGTGCTGCCTGACTGTGTTATTGATCAGCTGTCTCCAACTCAGAAGGGCACAGAAAAGGTTATCCTGAAGTCCTTTCTGGTTGTAGGAGTCAACATTTTTAGCCACAGACTTGGAAAGGGCAGCCAGATGGCTGTGGGGCATCCGGGGGCCAGACGGTGAGGAGGGGATCTTGGCAGGAAGGGAAGCAGTTTTCAAGGGAGGAAGTTTGCCAGCTCCTGGGATGTGCAGAATGTCAGACATCATTGGCGGTTGTGCGTCCTCAAGGCTCTAGTGGCATTTGTCTCTTCATGGCCATCCAACATCCTTTCCCACTTCCTATCAGAACCTAAGCTTCTCTTGGGAGAATCTCCTCTTTCCCTTTGGGTGTCTTTTTGTGGGATAGTAGAGCAAGGTACACCCCCTTACCCTGGCCCAGGTCAGACAGTTGTCCCATGATAGGCCAAACACTTTCCTTGGGGACCCGCAGTCTTGAGCAGGGCAACCCAAGGATGGATGAAAAAACTAGCAGAGGTGGAGTGTTTGGTGGTGGCAGCTACTAGAGAGTGCCAAGCTCTCTGCTACCCAGATGACCAAGCTACTCTGCTTCCTGCCAGCTAGCTCTCCAGCCTACCAGCCACTCTCTGAGTTACCCATTAGCTACACTATACATTTCTTTTTGCTTGAATTATCCAGAGTTAATTTCTGTGGGCTGCTACCAAAGAATACAAACATATACACAAGTGACAACATGCCAGTTGGAAGTAACATTCTATTGTTATCCTTTGTCTGTATGGCTCAGGAGTAGCGATATTGACTGTTAAATGGTTTTTGGGTTCATGGATTTCTGCATCCACCCATGAAAAACTAACTACTATGGGAATTGCCTCCTTGCCATAAGTAATGAGATAACTGGGCAAAATATATAAAACAATGGTTTTCAGGCACTGAACAATAAGCAGAGGAGAGCAGTGAGAAGGAAAACAATGGCCCTACAGTGACCAAGCCCTGCAATGCCCCAGCTTAGTGCCTGTGGTCTGCAGTGAAGGGACAGGGAATCAACACAGACTCCAGGGGTCTCATTGAGTTGAAGAAGCAAAAATAAGACTTCAAGGAGGTCAGGGAAGCTAGAATTTGCAGGTAAAAGTACCAGAGAGAAGGAAGCTGCATGAAAAGTTCTGGGAAACTGCGGAGAGGTCCCAGGACGAGGATGAGTGTGCCTGGAGGACTGTTCTCATTTTCTATTGGTTCATGACAAACAGCCTTAGAGGCCTCAACAGCACAAATTTATTATCGCACAGTTTCTGTGGGTTGGTGTTCTGTGCTTTCTTAGATTCTTTGTCTCTCTGGCCTCCATTCATTACAGGGCCAATTACGTTAACTGTATTTTCTTATGTTCTGTATTCTTGATGCTCCGGCATTTGTGGCTTCACTGACTGGGTAGAGACTGCCCCTCTCAAGGTTAGCCAATTCTTAGAGACAGCAAAGGGCTCACCTGGGAGCACACCTTCTATATGCAAACTAACCAACCCAGAGCCCATCCTTCAAACCATCTCCTTATCAAACTCTAACACACGATGGCAATATTCCCCTACTCTAAATTACTCCAGGGCCAGGCATCAAGACAACTGGGGACAGCCTCTATGCCCCTAAGGTTTGCCAGGATTATTCAAACCAGCCAGTCCTAAACTGGTGGCCCTGCTTTGCCTTGCCTTTTCCATGGAAACCCCAATAAAGGTTCTGGCCCATGCTTTCCTGTCACTTCTGTCTTCTGACCAAAACTGGTGCTTCACCCATGTGGCTCTGCATGGTGGGGCATGCCTCCTTCTGTTGGATAATATAAGTAATAAACATCTTCTTTCAATGGCATTGGTCTCTGTGTTGTCTCTCAGTCTCCTCCATAAATTAAAATTTCACAGGTGCAAGTGAGACAGTCAGGAGTTCAGAAATATCTTAGCTGGTCATCTCCTCAGGCCCTTATAAGGCTGAAATCTAGATGCAGCCAGGCTCAGGCTCAGGGCTCTTTTCCAAGCTCACTGGTTTGGGCAGAATTCATTTCTCTGTGGCCATATGATTGAGGTCCCTATTGCCTGCTGGCTGTTGGCCAGGCACCTAGGGGTTGCCCTCAGGTCCTAGCCACATGGTCCTTCCAGAAAATGGCAACCCACCTTTTCAAAGCTAGAAGAAGGATCTCTCTCTTCAAGAAAGACCAGGACCTTCTTTTAAAGGGCTCCTCTGATTAGGTCATACCTGCCTAGGATAATTTCCCTTTTGATGAATCAAAGTCAACTTATTAGAGACCTTAACCTGCAAAATGCCTTTACCTTTATGATATAGTGTAACCTAATCATGAGAGTGAAATCCCATCATATTCATAAGTTTTGCCCACAAGGAAAGGAAGAGGATTATATGGTGCATATATCCCAGGGGGTAGGAATCTTGGTGGGAGCTGGGAGGTATCTTAAAATTCTGCCTAGACAACAGGAAAATCCTTAAGTCCAAAATGAAAAAAAAAAAACAAAAACGCCAAAAATACACCAGTAGACAGCAAGGCAAACAACTCCTAGAGTTCACACAGGACCAGAAAGAATTCATGTTCCAAATCAAAGACAGTGGAGAGATCTCATAATACCTAAGGCACTGAGCAAAGTTATCAGAAGGTTCTTGCCATAGGAGTGAAGGTAAATTATACTGCAGTTTCTCTTGGCTGCAGGGGATATATCCCAAAATCCCCAGTGGATGCCTGAAACCACAGATAATACCAAATCCTAATTATACTGTTTTTTCTTATACATACGTGCCTATAATAAAAATAATAATTTAATTTATAAGTGTGGCACAGTAAGAGATTAACAACAATAATCAATAATAAAATAGAATAATAATAACTGTATACTTTAATAAAAGTTATATGAATGTGGTCTCCCTTTCTCTCACTGTCTCTCAAAATATTTTATTGTACTATATCACCTATTTTCAGACCAAGGTTGACCACAGGTAACTGATACCTTGAAAAATGAAACTATTAGATAAAGGAGGACTAATGTACAGAATAAAGGCTACTCTGGACTCACTCTAACAAAATGTAAAAGCAAGCTTCAAATGGAGTAGGTTGACAGCCAAGTTACTTAATTGCATCCCAAAACAAAATTCAATACTCTTTAAAGGAATACAACTAAATCTAGTATTCAGCACTCTTTAAAGGAATATAACCAAACATAGCATCCAATTTTACATTCACAACATAAAATTCACAATGTCCAACGTACTAACAAAAATGCAAAGACAAAGGAAGATATGAGCCATAATCAGAGGAAAAACAGATGCAGAAAGGAAAGAGATGATGAAGTTAGCAGAAAATCACTTTAAAACAGCTATTATAAATCTTATAAATGTGCTGAAATATGCAAAGGAAGACAAGGACATAATGAGGAAAGAAATAAAAAATATTAAAAAGGCCCAAATATAATTCTATAGATAAAAATACAATATCTGAAATGAAAAGTAACTGGGTTAGATGTTTTAGAAGGAAAGATTATTAAACTTAAAGACATAGCAATATAAGCTACCAAAATGAAGTACACAGAGGAAGAAGACAGAAAACAATAAGCATAGATTTAGTGAGCTGTGAGACAATATCAAGCAGTTTAATACATATATATTTGGCCAGGCATGGTGGCTCACGCCTGTAATCCCAACACTTTGGGAGGCCAAGGTGGGAGGATTGCTTGAAGCCAGGAGTTCAAGACAAGCCTATGTAATAAGCAAAACCCTGTGTCTACAAAAATTTTTTTTAATTAGCCGGGTGTGGTGGTGTGTGCCTATAGTCCCAGCTACTCAGGAGGCTGAGATGAGAGGATCGCTTGAGCCCAGGAGTTTGAGGTTACAGTGAGCTATGATCATGCCACTGCATTCCAGCATGGGTGACAGAGCAAGACCTGTTTTTTTTTTAAAAAAAGCGTGGTGTGGTGTGGTGTGTGTGTGTGTGTGTGTGTGTGTGTGTGTGGTCTCTGAAGAAAAGAACAGAGAGAAATACAGAAAAAAATTTTAATAAGTGGTCCAAAAGTTTTCAAATTTGATGAAAATTGGAAATCCACAGATCATCTCAACAAACGCCAAGCATAAGTATCATAAAGAAAACCAAACCAAAGCACATCATGATAAAGTTGCTGAAAGCTAATGATAAAGAAAAAATATTAAAGACAGCCAACATAGAGGAATGAAAGCAGACTTCTTATCAAAAATCATGCAGTCTAGAAAGGGGGAAAAGGAATATCTTTTTAAAAATACTACTAATTCTATATTCAATGAGTTCTACACCCAGTGAAAATATCTTTCATCAATGACGGTAAACATTTTTTCAGACCAACAAAAGCTGAAAGAATTCGTTACCCATAGACCTACTTTATAGGAAGTAGAGTAGGCTTCTTCAGGGAAAGAGAAAAATGATACCAGATGAAAATCTGGATTTGCTCAAAGTAATAAAAAGTGTCAGAAATGGTACATATGTAGATTAATATAATTTTGCCTCATTTTAAAATCTCTTTAAAGGATAATTAATGCTTCTGGGCACAGTGGCTCACACCTGTAATCCCAGGATTTTGGGAGGTCAACGCAGGAATATCGCTTGAGGCCAGGAGTTCAAGACCAGCCTGGGCGACATAATGAGATCCTGTCTCCTTTTTATATTAAAAAATTAAAAACAACAAAAAAAGAGATAAGTAATGCAAAAATAATATAAATATACTGGGTTTATAATATACATAGAAGTAAAATCTATGACAATAATAACACAAAGGACAAAATGAGGGGAATGGAAATCTGTTGTAAGATTCTTACACTATCAGAGAAGTAGCAAAACATTATCTGAAGGTAAAATGTGATAAGTTAAAGATGATACTGTGATCTCTAGAGGAACCCTAAAAAATATAAAACAAAGAGGAATAGCTAATAAGCTCATGGTGGAGACAAAAGGAGATCATTAAAAAAATGAAATCCCAATGAAGTCAGGAAAACAAGAACAAAATCTAGTATTTGGAACAAATAAAACCAAATGTGGCTGGGCACACTGGCTTAGCACTTTGGGAGTTTGGCTCAGCACTTTGGGAGGCTGAGGCCGCAGGAACACCTGAGGCCAGGAGTTTGAGGCTAGTAGGGGCTCTTTGCACTCCAGAACAATCAGGCCCAGGGTCCAAACCCAGGCCCTCAAGCTATGTCTACATCTGGATTTAATCCCACCATTCTCCTTTTCCCAAAAAGCTAAGGCTGCAGCTTAATTGGCCGGATGCTGGCAGGTGTGGAGGGGGTTGTACAGAAGAGCTGCTCTGTTGTGCATTACATAACTCCACACCTGTAGCTCCTGGAGAGCTACAGGAGACAGGGTGGCCAGAGCGTAGCTTGTGAATGACTGTGATTATTAATACATCTTTATTGAAAGAAGATGAGTACCTTGGGGGTATAGCTCAGGGGTAGAGCATTTGACTGCAGATCAAGAGGTCCCTGGTTCAAATCCAGGTGCCCCCCCTTTGTCACTATCCTTTTACACTGGGCAATTATAGAATAGCTCCTTGTTATCTGGTAGGCTCTGTCTCTACGAAAAATAATTTTTAAAAAAATTAGCTGGGCATGGTGACTCACACCTGTAGTCCTAGCTACTTGGGAGGCTGACACGGGAGGATCACTTGAACAAAGAAATCTATAAGCTATCTATAAGAATGCCACTTTAAATATAATAAGATGAATAATTTAAGAGAGTGGAAAAAGTATATGCCAAACAAATACTAACCAAAAGAAAGATGAAAAGTGTATTCTATAACAGACTAAATAGACCAGAACAAGGAAAATTACTGAATTGAAGAGGAATATTTCATAATGATAAAAAGATCAGTTCATCAATAGGACATAACAGTCTTAAGTGTGTATGCATCTATTAACAGAGCTTCAAAATACAAGAGGCAACAACTACTGAGATCAACTGATCAACTGTTGGTAACTGAAGTTGGATCTGAATTTTTACCTCAAAAAATAAACGAATCTTCATGTTGTCTAAGCCAAAAAAGACAAATGAACAACATAATGAAAAAAAAATAGAACATAGCTAAATAAAATTTCAGATTATAAGAGAATACTATGGGCCGAGCACAGTGGCTCACACCTGTAATCTCTGCAGTTTGGGAGACCAAGGCAGGTGGATCACCTGAGGTCAGGAGTTCGAGACCAGCCTGACCAACATGGCAAAACACTATCTCTACCAAAAATACAAAAATTAGCTGGGCATGGTAGTGGGTGCCTGTAATCCCAGCTACTCAGGGGGCTGAGGAAGGAAAATTGCTTGAACCCAGAAAGTGGAGGTTGCAGTGAGCCAAGATTGCACTCCAGCCTAGGCAACAAGAACGAAACTCCATCTAAGAAAAGAAAAGAAGGAAGGGAAGGGAAGGGAGGAAGAAAGGAAGGAAAGAAAAGCAAATACTATGTACAACTTTATTATATTTTCTAAGTGAAAATGAATTACTAAAAGTGACCTAAGATGAAGCAGAGCACTTAAATAGACCAATAATGACAGAATTCATTAAAAGATCATTAAGGAGCTCTTCCTCACAAAAGGCACCCCACCCAGAGGCTTACAAGCAAGTTTCTGCTAATCTTTAGTTAAGAATATGTAATTTTATGTTATATATAATGTTCCAGCGTAGAACGCTTTAAATCTCTCCAAATCATTCTAGAAAATTCACATAATCCTGATATAAAAAATAAATTACAAGAGCATATACCACAAAGAAAGCTATAGGCCAATCTCATTTCAGAGTAATCTAGACAAAATAGTAGAAAACCTTATCCAATAGTACAATCCCACATAACCAAGAAAGACTTAAAACAGAAATGCACTGATGGCTCAATATTGGAACATCAATTACTATCAAGTAGGGGCTCCTTGCACTCCAGAACAATCAGGCCCAGGGCCCGAACCCAGGCCCTCAAGCTATGTCTATATCTGGATTTAACCCCACCACTCTCCTTTTCCCAAAAAGCTAAGGCTGCAGCTTAATTGGCCAGGTGCCGGCAGGTGTGGAGGGGGTTGTACAGAAGAGCTGCTCTGTTGTGCATTACATAACTCCACACTCTGGAGACAGAGTGGCCAGAGCGTAGCTTGTGAATGACTGTGATTATTAATATATCTTTATTGAAAGAAGATGAGTACCTTGGGGGGTATAGTTCAGGGGTAGAGCATTTGACTGCAGATCAAGAGGTCCCTGGTTCAAATCCAGGTGCCCCCTTTGTCACTACCATTTTACACTGGGCAATTATAGTATAGCTCCTTGTTATCTGGTAGGCCAGCCTCAAGGAACCAAATTTTCCAACCAATGGCAAAGACTGAAGTGTTTCTCTTGTGACATTTTTCACATATTTCATTTTTACCTCCTCAGCCATAATCATTTCCTGGAGGGGTAGAGGAAAGCTGCCCTAGATTTTTTCTGTTTCCCTTGTACCTAATTATTACCACCAAGATTTTATTTGTTTACACCAAGCTTGCTTTAAAAAAAGAATCCAAGGCAACTTACAATAAAAGACACAATAAAACTCTAACTGGTAAAACGAGTATTAAAATGCCAGAGCCAAATGTCTAGGAGAGGTAGCAAATAATTATTCCAAAGATCCTAGGTTAGGAGAAGCTCTTACTGTGGAATTCAAAACATCTCATAGCTCCTAGTAATCATGCGGAGGGAAAACAGACCAATTCACCAATCGTTAAAAATATGTTATTAGCTCAAAGAGCAGCAGACATTAATATGATAGGTCTTAATACATGAAACACTGGAGAGATGATGGTGGTTGCCAGGGCAACCATGTGCAGACACACAGGTTGCACATTTTATAACTTTACCAATTACACAGCACCCTGGAATGATGCAACACAGCGACCCTGAATATTTGCTGTATTTTATCCACTTTTTAAAAATTGTAGAAACAGTGCCACACGTGTGTGTGTATGTGTGTGTGTCTCAAAGGAGGCTACTAGTTAAGTACCCAATATTCATTCTTTTCTCTTCTGTAGTAATAGAAACTCAGATTTCATACTGAGCAGTTATGTTCTCAGCTAAAAGACCACACTCCTAGGCCGTCTTTGGCCAGGGGTGGCATACACATGAGGGATAAGGAACAGTTAAGACTTCTGGGAAATTTTAAGAGAAGGACAAACATGTCATGTGCTTCTTTTGCCTTTACTTCTGCTTCCTACTTATAACATAGATGTGATGGCTGGGGCACAAGCTATCAACTTAGACCATGAGTCAACTTTGAGGATGGGATCCACATTTTAAGGAAGGCTGACCAGAGAGATAAAAGGAGCCTGTGTCTCTAAAGACACCCTCGAGTTACCATGCCAGCTCTGGTCTGCTCACCTCCTGATATGGTTTGGATCTATGCCACCACCCAAATCTCATGTCAAATTGTAATCCCCAATGTTGGAGAAGGGGCCTACTGGGAAGTGACTGGATCATGGGGGCAGACTTCCCCCTGTTGTTCTCATGACAGTGAGAGAGATCTCATGAGATCTGGTTGTTTAAAAGTGTGTAGCACTTCCTCCCTCTCTCTTCCTCCTCTTCCGGCAGTGTGAAGATGTTCCTGCTTCCCCTTCAACTTCTGCCATGATTGTAAGTTTTCTGAAGCCTCCCCAGCCACGTTTCCTGTACAGTCTGTGGAACTGTGAGCCAACTAAACCTCTTTTCTTCATAAATTACCCAGTCTCAGGTATGTCTTTATAGCAGTGTGAAAACAGACTAATACAGCAAATTGGTACCAGAGAAGTGGGGCATTGCTGTAAAGATACCTGAAAATGTGGAGGTGACTTCAGAACTGTGTAATGGGCAGAGGCTGGAACAGTTTGGAGGGCTCAGAAGAAGACAGGAAGATGAGGGAAAGTTTGGAGCTTCCTAGAGACTTGTTGAATGGTTGTGACCAAAATGCTGATAGTGATATGAACAGTGAAGTCCAGGCTTAGGTGATCTCAGATGGAGATGAGGAACTTATTGAGAACTGGAGTAAAGGTCGCTCTTGCTTTTCTTTAGCAAAGAGACTGTGGCATTGTGCCTCTGCTCTAGGGATCTGTGGAACTTTGAACTTGAGAGAGATGATTTAGGGTACCTGGCAGAAGAAATTTCTAAGCAGGAAAGCATCAAGATGTGACCTGGCTGGTTCTAACAGCATATCATATATGTTCACAAAGAGATGGTCTGAAATTGGAACTTATATTCAAAAGGGAAGCAAAGCATAAAAGTTTGGAAAATTTGCAGCCTGATCATGTGGTAGAAAAGAAAAACTCATTATCTGTGGCGGGATTGAAGCCAGCTGCAGAAATTTGAATAAGTAAAGAAGAGCCAAGTGTTAATAATCAAGACAATGAGGAAAATGCCTCCAAGGCAATCCAGAGAACTTCATGGCAGTCCTTCCCATCATAGGCCCAGAAGCCTAGGAGGGAAAAATGGTATCATGGACCAGGCCCAGGGCCCTGCTGCTCTGTGCAGTCTCAGGACATGGCACTTGCTTCCCAGCTGCTCCAGCCCCAGCTGTAACTAAAAGGGCCTCAGATACATCTCAGGTTGCTGCTCCAGAGGGTGCAAGCCATAAGAAGTCTTGGTGGCTTTCACATGGTGTTAAGCCTGCGGGTGTGCAGAGGGCAAGAGTTGAGGCTTGGAAGCCTCCACCTGGATTTCAGAGGTTGTATGGAAACACCTGGATGTCCAGGCAGAAGTCTGCTGCAAGGGTGGAGCCTTCATAGAGAACTTCTACTAGGGCAGTGCTAAGGGTAAATGTGAGGTTGGAGCCCCCACATAGAGTCCCCACTGGGGCACTGCCTAGTGAAGCTGTGAGAAGAGGGCTACCACCCTTCCAGTCCCTGGAATTGTAGACCCATCAACAGCTTGCACCATATGCCTGGAAAAGCCTCAGGCACTCAATACCCATCCATGAAAGCAGCCATGGGGTCTGTACCCTACAGAGTCACAGGGGCAGAGCTGCCTTGGCCCACTCCTTGCATCAATGTAAACTGGATGTGAGACATGGAGTCAAAAAGATAATTCTGGAGCTTTAAGATTTAATGACTGCCCTGCTGGATTTTGGTCTTGCATGGGGCCTGTAGTCCCTTTATTTTGGCCAGTTTATCCCTTTTGGAACAGGAGCATTTACCCGATGCCTGTACTCCCATTGTATCTTGGAAATAACTTTTTTTTTTTTTTAATTTTACAGTCTCATCAGTGGAAGGAACTTGCCTTGTCTCGGGTGAGACTTTGAACTTGAACTTTTGAGTTAATGCTGAAATGAGTTAAGACTTTGGGGGACTATTGGAAAGGCATGCCTGTGTTTTGAAATGTGAGAAGGATGAAATTTGGGAGGGGCCAGGGGTGGAATGATGTGTTTGATTCTGTGTCCCCACCCAAATCTCATGTCAAATTGTAAGCCTTAATGTTGGAAGAGGGGCCTGGTGGGAGGTGATTGGATCATGCGTGTGGTCTTCCGCCTTGCTATTCTCATGAAAGTGAATACCTTCTCATGAGATCTGGTTGTTTACAAGCATGTAGCACTTCCTTCTTCACTCTCTTCCTCCTGCTCTGGCCATGTGAAGATGTGCCTGCTTCCCCTTCACCTTCTGCCATGATTGTAAGTTTCCTGAGGCCTTCTCAGCCATAATTTCTATACAACTTGTGGAACTGTGAGTCAATTAAACCTCTTTTCTTCATAAATTACCCGGTCTCAGGGTAAGTCTTTATAGCAGTGTAAGAACAGACTAATACACCTCCATACATCCTTTATGAAAAATATATAAATTGCTATCTTGTTGAAACCTCCAAGGACAGACAAATCCACACGATTCTGAAAGTTCATCCACTTTCTCCGTTGACAGCCTACCAAGCACCTACCTCAGTAGGTCTGAGTTAGTCATGAAAAAGGTTTTTCTACCAAGGCAATTTCCCTGGTAGAAATTCTCATTGTTGAGAGTTGACCAGGAAACTTTCATTGTTACAGAGTCAACTAAGTGTTCCCACAGCTTTCTCAGCTTCCCTCTAATGATACAGAGTAGTGTAGGAGGAAAGTCCTTCTATTGTTCCACATCCCATGGTGCACCCAGCTCTGCCTGGCCCAAGTCTACATCTCTACATGATAAGGAGAACGCAGGGAACCATACACTTTTGCTGCTTGTCTGCCTACAAGTTCCCCCAGGAACTTCTTGTCTTTGTGTTAGAAATGCAAGGTATGCTGTAGTGAGTGAGCCTGTACCCCTTAGCACAGTAGTCACTCTCATTTCCAGTTGGTTACTAGCAGCTGAATGCAGCTTCTAACTGCTGGTGCATGATTCTTCCACTAGTTTGGAAAAGGCAGTTCTACAAAGGGCTTGCATAACTAACTTAACAGAGTGGTAAAGTCATCCCTGGATGCCAGAGGAATTCATGGTTAGCATGTCTTTCAGCTCAGTGCTACTCATTGTGGTCCATGACCTGAGGCCAGTCCATGAACTCTTTGTTACAGGTCTGTGATGGGAGAAATTCAGAAATTGAGAGTAAATGCTGAGAAAGTCTATAACAATCTTCCATTGGCCAGTTCTGGTGGTGTGGTGGGTCTCAAAGTCTGCAAGTCTGATGGACCAGTGTTGATTCATGACAGATTTTAAGGAAATAAAAATAAAGCTGGGTTTTCACCACAGATAGATTGAAAAGCATGGCTTTAATTCACCCCTCCTGGAGATTCATTTCTGAGAACTCTTTAGTGTGGAGCAGCTGGCACTTCAAGATTTCACTCACTGTGTTCATCAGGGCCCTTAGGGACCAGCAACAGAACCTAGATTGAGCAGTAAAAGTTTATTAAAAGCATCTCTCTCACAAGGTAGAGTTGTGGAAAATGAGTCTCCAGTCTAACCTTTCAGAAAAAATGCCCCAAACCACCCTGCAGAACTGGCCCACTGAAGAAACAAAAATGCAGGTGCCACCTTGCACCAGATGACACAGTCTACATTCCAGACACCACAACTCATACCACTTCTCTACCAGAAACTCAAGCCCTCAAAACTGGAAAACAACAACACCATCCTTGCAAGCCAAATGGACCCTGCCCCTCCCTCTTCCCTCTTCAGGCCTTAAAAGGGTACATCCCATCACTGGAGCCCAGGCCCATTCCATAAACTCAAAGGGGCCTGGAGAACAAGTTTTCTAGCTTCTATTTTGAGGTTGCTGGTCTTATAAGGAAGACATTCCCCACGTACAGCTAGTGCACTCAAAGATTCTGCACCGTCAGAAAATATGAAAATGTCCCTCACAAACACATCAGATTTTTGAATACAGTACAAAAAGAATGTAAAATATCTTGTTAGCTTAATTACATGTTGCAATAATAATATTTTAGATATTTGGGTTAAATGGAATATTGCATTAAAATAAATTTCAATGATTTGTTTTTATGTATTAATGTGTCTACTAGAAACTATGAAATTACATATATGGCTCACATTTGCAGCTTGCATTATATTTCTATTGGACAGTGTTGCTCTAGATGAAGTGTGGTCTCAGAATATAAGACCGGGATGGTGTCACCAATCAGTGGGGAAAGGGTGGACTATACAATAAATGGTGCTTGAATAATTGTCTTCTAAACAAAATCACAATGTGATCCCTACCTCACTCCATTAAAAAAATACAGATGAGGCCAGGCATGGTGGCTCACGCCTGTAATCCCAGCACTTTGGGAGGCTGAGGTAGGTGGATCAGCTGAGGTCAGGAATTCGAGACTAGCCTGGCCAACATGAGGAAACCCCATCTCTACTAAAAATACAAAAAAAGTAGCCAAGTGTGGTGGTGGGTACCTGTAATCCCAGCTACTCAGGAGACCGAGGCAGGAGAATTGCTTGAACCCAGGAGGAGAAGGTTGCAGTGATCCAGGATTGCGCCACTGCACTCCAGCCTGGTCAACAAGAGTGAAACTCCATCTGAAAAAAAAACACAAAAAAACAAAAAACCAGATGAATTAAAGACCTAAATATGAACTCAAACTTTTGGTAGAATATACAGAATACACACACACACACATGCACAAACACACACACACACACATACATATATATTGTTAAAGAAAAGTTATTCAATGATACTTGTTAAAGCACAGTGAGGAAGCCATTGCAATAGGTATAGAGACCACTGCAGCAACTGGGCTTTGCAGTGGGGGAGACAGACAGGGCTCAACTCTGAATACAGCATGGCTAAGTAGGTATTTATAGCCAAGGAGCAGGGTTAGGGGTCAATGGATGGAAAATTACTAAGTAACATCAGGAGTAAGGGGAATTCTGGCTAAACTGGCCTAACAGGATTCTTGCTGAAGACAGGCCAGGGAAATCAGACATCATCACCTGGTAGATGATGAAGGAGGAGGAAGTTGACCAGCTATTATATTCATGTCTAAAACACCAAAAGCAATGGCAACAAAAGCCAAAATTGACAAATGGGATCTAATTAAACTAAAGAGCTTCTGCACAGCAAAAGCAACCACCATCAGAGTGAACAGGCAACCTACACAATGGGAGAAAATTTTTGCAACCTACTCATCTGACAAAGGGCTAATATCCAGAATCTACAATGAACTCAAACAAATTTACAAGAAAAAAACAAACAACCCCATCAACAAGTGGGTGAAGGATATGAACAGACACTTCTCAAAAGAAGACATTTATGCAGCCAAAAAACACATGAAAAAATGCTCATCATCACTGGCCATCAGAGAAATGCAAATCAAAACCACAATGAGATACCATCTCACACCAGTTAGAATGGCGATCATTAAAACGTCAGGAAACAACAGGTGCTGGAGAGGATGTGGAGAAATAGGAACACTTTTACACTGTTGGTGGGACTGTAAACTAGTTCAACCATTGTGGAAGTCGGTGTGGCGATTCCTCAGGGATCTAGAACTAGAAATACCATTTGACCCAGCTATCCCATTACTGGGTATATACCCAAAGGATTATAAATCATGCTGCTATAAAGACACATGCACATGTATGATTATTGCAGCACTATTCACAATAGCAAAGACTTGGAACCAACCCAAATGTCCAACAATGATAGACTGGATTAAGAAAATGTGGCACATATACACCATGGAACACTATGCAGCCATAAAAAAGGACGAGCTCATGTCCTTTGTGGGGACATGGATGAAGCTGGAAACCATCATTCTGAGCAAACTATCGCAAGGACAGAAAACCAAACACCGCATGTTCTCACTCATAGGTGGGAATTGAACAATGAGAACACATGGACACAGGAAGGGGGAACATCACACACCGGGGACTGTTGTAGGGGGAGGGGGAGGGATAGCATTAGGAGATATGCCTAATGCTAAATGATAAGTTAATGGGTGCAGCACACCAACATGGCACATGTATACATATGTAACAAACCTGCACGTTGTGCACATGTACCCTAAAACTTAAAGTATAATAATAAAAAAAAAAAGAAAAGAGTGCTCAGATATCAAGGGTGTAGGGGTTTTTGCTAAACTGGCTTAGCAGAACTCTTGGCTAAAACTGGACTTTATAAGGAAGTGTACAGATGGGCACAGATTGGGGGCTTGTGTTTAAGATTTATATATCTGATAGTATAAAATTGCTAAATTGGTACACTCACTATGGAGAAAATTTTGGCAATAAAAACAGCAAAATAAGTATATAAATCATATAGACCTATAAGAGTATACTTAAAAGTATGCATAAAATTCAGGAATTTCACTTCTTGGTACATCTGAGAAACTCTAGCATAAGTTTCTCAGGAGATGTGCACAAATGTTCTTTGCAGCACTATTGTTAATTTGAAAACAAACAAAAAAGAAATGTCCTGAGTATGTCCCTTTATAGTGGAATAGATAAATAACACTTTCTGGACTCTTATAATGTAATTTTTTAAATTATGCAGTTTAAAGAAAGTTTAAGCTGAGGGTGCAAGATAAAATAGGTATCAGATACCAAAAGTAGGCATGAGAGAGCACCATGTGGAAATTTCAAAGTCATGTCTGATAACCAGATGGCTTCCTACCAGGAGGGTATAAGAGGGTCAGTTTGTTGGAGATTAGAGTGTTGGTGAGGAATACATTTTCCTGCTCTTCTCAAGGGGAAAGAGTTGAGTGGGGGGTTTCCCCTAACTCAAGCCTAGTAAAGGAGCTTCAAGGAGTCTCAGCTCACAGAACTTGGTCCACATGCCCTGGAGTCGGGGTTTGCGATGGAGCAGAGTCCAGCACAAAGGAGGGCACAAAGCTAAGCAGGGGTGGCTGCCCTGCAGGTGGGAGTGTGATGCAGCTCTTGGAAATGGGCCTGCATCACCAGCATGGGCTGGGGACCAAAGGCACAGGGGTGTTCCCTGCAGGCCACACAAGAGAGAAAGCTACTCAGGAGCTATGTTAAACTCTGCCCAAGAGGATGAGTCATGGACCCCAACAGAGAGAATCTGTGTGACATGGAACCCAGAAAGCCAGAGGTGCAGGTAGAAATGTCAGCCTAAGAGAGGTGTGTGCCAGGTCACAGAGGCAGTCAGATGTTCCCAATGAAGCCCTTTGAAGAATCCCATGGAAATATCCAGGGAGTCATTTTAAACACTTGCCAAGCCCAGAAAAAACAAACCTATCTTATTACAGTGCCAGGCAAGTAAGAACTTTCTCATTCTCCTTTTCCTCTCCTCCCCTCTTCCCCCTCTCCCCACCCTAGATGCTAGGGATGAATGCTAGATGGGGACAGGGAAAGGAGGGACCATGACTCAATTCTTCCACTTCTAGCGGAAGATAGATGCTCCAGTCGATTTCAGAGTATCAGTTATTCCATGGGACTGAACATTTTAATGACTGAATTAAGATTGCAGCTATGGGACTTTCTGCTACCTAAGAGTAATCATTAAAGCCTCTTTGACAAGAAAAAACCATTTCACTGAGAAAGTTTAAAAGGGGCAGTGAGGAGCAAAAATGGAATTGCTTTTATTATCACCTCATGAGTGCTCCACATTCAACAGCTGCAAAAGTGACCAGATAGCTCTCAAAAAGAACAGTGTCATGTGCAAGGAATTTAAGATACAGAACTATATGTTTAGCATTATCTCATTTGGGTTGTTTAAACATACACAGAAAATATGGAATATTGTTTCTGTATACCCATATATAAATATAAAAGTATTTTTAAAATGGGACTTGTATCCAGAATACATAAAGTTGTCAAAATTTAACAAAAAAAGTCTATTTCAAAAATGAGCAAAATATTTAAAGACATTTCGCTGAAGAGGATATTCAGTTGGCAAATAAGCACATGAAAAGATGTCAACATCATCGGCCATTAGGAAAATGATAATAAAGCTACAATAGGATATCACTACTCTCCCATCAGCATAACTAAAATAGAAAAGTGATATTATCAAATGCTGTTGAGGATGCAGAAAAACTGGATTACTCATACATTACTGGTAGAAACGTAAAATGGTACTGTCACTCTACAAAAGAGTTTGGCAGGTTCTGACCAAGCCAAACATGTGCTAACTGTAGGACCCAATAATTGCACTCTTGTGCATTATCCCGAAGAAGCAAAATTTTTTTTTCTCAGAAAAATCTGTACCCAAGTGTTCATAGAAGTTTTATTCATAATGGCCAAAAGCTGGAAACAACCCAAACATCCTTCAATATGTGAATGAGGTTTAGCAAACTATTGTTCATCTGTATGATGAAATACTACTCAGCAATAAAAAGGAGTAGACCATTGATACACACAAAAACTTCGATAGATCTCTAGGGATTTATGCTGAGTGAAAGAAAGCCAATCTCAGAAGGTTACATATTGTATGGCTTCATGCACAAAACAATCTTGAAATCATAAAATTATAGATGTGGGAAATGGATTAGTGGTTGCCAGGATTAGAGAGGGATGAGGAGGGAAAGTAGCTGTGGCTATAAAAAGGTGGCATGAGGGACCCTTGTGAGGAAACTGTTCTATAGGTTGACTGTGGTGGTGGCCATATAAGTCTACATCAGTTATAACATTGCAAAGAACTAAACACACACACACAGGTGCATGTAAATCTAATGACATCTGAATAAGATTGGTGGGGCTTGTATCAATGTCAGTTTCCTGGTGGTGCTATTGTACACTAGTTATTCAAAATTATATTATTGGAGAAAATTAGCTGAAAAGTACTTCAGTTATCTCAAAAAGTTGAAAAATAAAAACCAAGTGGAAAGTGGAAGGATGCAGCCTAAATTCATGATAATAGTTGTCTTTAGGGAGGGGAGGAATGGGAGTGGATTGGGAAGGAGGATGTTGCAGGGGACATAGCTGTGTTGGTGATGTTTCACTACCTTAAAATGATGGGCCAGTTCTAACATGATAGCAGTTACCACTTCTGGGTGTTAAGTATATTGGTGATTCTTAAATTATTCTATGTAGTTTTCTATAAAATAAAAAGTATTTTTGAAAGGTGGGGGAGTAACTTTGGTGGCTTGATGGATATCCAGGTGGGGAGCATAGGCACACAGAAGGGCCAGCAAGCAGACACACTGCAGGTGAGCCTACCTCAGGGAAAGTTGCCCATTCAGGGCCTGGGATTGACCTGCAGAGGAGGGGTCTCTGGTCCCAACACAGAAGCCCTTGTTTGTTCAAGCTTTGTTTCTGGGGAACCTAGACTTAGTGTCCAGCCCCAGCAACTCCAGCTGGGCCAACCTGCTGGTTTGAGGCCCTGGGACAGGTAGAACTGTTGCCCTGCCCTAGGATGAGGGCTGAAAACCTCTGTTAGTATGTCTCCTGTGCCAGTTATCAAAGTATTGTCTCTTGACTCCAAATGCATCCCTCATTGCCTGCTCTGTGATAATGGAGTGGGACCCTGTAACTATTTCTCCCTAGTCAGTGGCACAACGTTATGCTTTGTCAGTAGAAGGTGCAAGAGGGATGCTGGGGAAGGAAAGGGTTTGTATTCCTGGTTGTGGTGCACTCTGCCTGGAGGCTCCTGCAGCGTGTGCAGCATCTGCAGCTCTGGGCTCGCACAGTACACTGAGCCAGCAGCATGTGTCTGCTTTCTCTGGAGTGTTGCTGCATGGCACCTCCTTGTGAATGGCTTCCTCAGCACCTTTCAGGCAGCTTTGCAGCAACTTCTGAGGGCAGCACTTTCTCATGGTTGGTTTCCCCAAGAACTCCCATAAAGTTTCCCAGTGACTGCTGCAGGTGCAACATCTCCCTGTGGGTCGTTGCCCCCAACACCCTAAGGGGTGGATTCCCCTTGAACTCAGCTGCTGTGGCATCTTAGTGAATTTCTCCACTCTGTAAGCCATGACCACAGCCTTTTCAATAAAGCTTAAATCTCAGCCTGCGGTGGAGGTGGGGTTTTTCCAGATCTGTTCCTTCCTTGGGTGCCCTTTCTCAGCCCTAGGATAGGGTTTACTCCCTATATCTGCTCTTCCTATATTCTTTAGAGTTCTCTTTGCCCCTCACTAGTCAATGTCCCTCACTATTCCAATCCTCTGCTAGAGTTACTATTTCTGTATACTAACCTTTTCCAAGTTAAGTTACCATGTGGTTTCTGTCTTCCTATTGGATCCTGATTGGTACAGAATTGATACCAGAGGCAAGGTGGTAGCAATCAGTAGATAGCTTCACACCATGGGTTTGGGGAATTGGTTTGTTTGTATTCTTGGCTTGAATGCAATGTGGAGCCCCTTGCCAATGAGAAATAATGGGATGCTAGTAGTCCATGGCATACACTGGCATCACAACCAATCAAGCTATCACTGTGGTTGATTGTGTTAAGTGTTAAATGAAGTAGATGTCTTGGGAGCCCAAGTGGCTGCTGTTTTAATGATGGCTGCAAGAACTATAATATGGGATTGATTCTTCTGAGTGCACTTGACCTCTTTCAGGAGGAAAATGACAAGCTTGGATTTTTGGAACCCTGTAGACATAAGCTTAAGCTTGTTGTTCACAGGCAAAAGGCAGAAGGATGTAGAGAGAATAGAGGAATTGCAGACCTAGTGGCTGTTTGAGGTCTCACTCTCTCAAGGAAGTCTTAAGTCCTCTTACAATTGAGTCAGGCACATCCAGGATAATCTCCCTTTAGATTAATTTATAGTCAGCTGATTAGGTTTATTCCATTTGCAAAATCCTTTCATCTTTGCCAGATAAGTAACATAATTGCTGAAACGACATCCCATCACCTTTGCTATATATATGTTTATTTTATTTATTTATTTTATTTTATTTTTGAGATGGAGTTTCGCTCTTGTTGCCCAGGCTGAAGTGCAATGGCGCGATCTCGGCTCACTGCAACCTCCGCCTCCCGGATTCAAGCTATTCTCCTGCCTCAGCCTTCCTGAGTAGCTGGGATTACAGGCATGCACCACCAGGCCTGGCTAATTTTATATTTTCAGTAGAGATGGGGTTTCTCCATGTTGGTCAGGCTGCTCTTGAACTCCTGACCTCAGATGATCCACCTGCCTTGGCCTCCTAAAGAGCTGGGATTACAGGCATGAGCCACTGCACCCAGCCTGCTATATGTTGTTGATTAGAAAAAAGTTACACATCCCATCCACACTCATGGGGAAGCAACTACACAAACATATGGATATTAGGGTACAGGAGTTGTGGGGGCCGTCTTACAGCTCTACCTACCACATCTTCCACTACAACATACCAAGGAAGCTCTGGCATTTCAAGTTCATTTGGTGTAGGCTACCTTTGGGCCTGTTTTTCAGTCAGCCACACTAGCAGAATGTGGATATAGTCTGCATTTGACTGCAAATTAAAGAAGTCTCTGGTTCAAATCCAGCTGTCCCCTTTGAAGATATCCTTTCAGAGTCATTCCCAGTCCGTGGAGCTAACACACTAAATCTGGAAAATCTCAGCTCAGTGAGCCCATTTAAATACATTCAGCCTGATCCAACTTTATATTCCTTCTACTTTGAGCTGACTTTGGTAGTTTTAAAGTATGTTAACATTTCTCCCTTGGAGATGTGAAGCTTAATTATCTTCCATGTGCTTAGTAAGACACTATGTTTAGTGTTACTGAGTTTAGTAACACACTTGTAATGAATAGAATATGGTGGAAATGACAATGTGTCACTTCTGAAACGAAGTCATAAAATACACTGTGGCTCTACCTTGCTCTCTCTTGGATAAAAACTCAGGGAAGCCAGTTGTCATGTCATAAGGACACATCAAACAGCCCTGTAAGAGGCTCACATGGCAAGGAATTGAGGTCTCCTGCCAACATGCATTAAGGAACTGAGTCCTCTTTCCAATAGCCATGTGAGTGAGTCAGCTTAGAGTGGTTCCTCTAGCCCCAGTCAAACTTTCAGATGACTGCAGCCCCAGCTGACATCTTATCTGCAATCTAATAGGAGACCCTGAATCACAGCCACACAGCTAAGTCATTCCCAGATTTCTGAACCTCCAAGACTGCATGATATAAAACAATAAATGTTTATTGTTTTAAGCTGCTAAGTTTGGGGTGATTTTGTTATGCAGCAATATATAAGTGTAGACATACCTTGGAGATACTGCAGGTTCAGTTCTAGACTACCACTGTAAAGTGAATATTGCAATAGAGTGAGTCACATGGAATTTCTTATTACCTAGTGCATATAAAAGTTATGTTTATACTGTAGTCTATTAAGTGTGCAATAACATTATGTCTAAAAAAGCAATGTACATTGCTTACATTAAGGTATGCAAGGTACATTGCATACCTTAATTTAAAAGTACTCTATTCCTAAAAAATGCTAATGATCATCTGAGCCTTCAGTTGTAATCTTTTTTTACTGGTAGAGGGTCTTGCCTTGATATTGATGGCTGCTGACAGATCAGCATGATGGTTGCTGAAGTTTGGAGTGGCCATGACAATTTCTTAAAATAAAACAATGAAGTTTGCCACATCAATTTACTCTTCCTTTTATGAAAGATTCCTCTGTAACACGTGATGCTGTTTGATAGAGTTTGACCAATGGTAGAACTTCTTTCAAAATTGGAGTCAATTCTCTCAAGCCCTGCTGCTGCTTTATCAACAAAGTTTAAGAAATATTCTATGTCTGTTGTTGTCATTTCAACAGTGTTCACAGCGTTGTCACCAGGAGCAGATTCTATCTCAAGAAATCACTTTCTTTGCTCATCTGTAAGAAGCAACTTTTCATCCATTCAACTTTGATCATGAGATTGTAACAATTCAGTCACATCTTCAGGCTCCCCTCCTAATTCTAGTTCTCCTGCTATTTCCACCACATCTGCAGCGACTTCCTTTACTGAAGTCTTGAACCCTTCAAAGTCATCCATGAGGGTTGGACTCAAATTCCAAACTACTGTTATTGTTGCCATTTTGACCTCCTCCCAAGAATCATGAATTGTCTTAATGGCACCTAAAATGGTAAATCCTTTCCAGAAAGTTTTCAATTTACTTTGTCCGGATCTGTCAGAGGGACCACATTATCTATCACAGCTACAGCCTTATAAAATGTGTTTCTTAAGTAATACAACTTCAAAGTCAAAATTATTTCTTGATCCATGGGCTGCAGAATGGATGTTTTCTTCACAGGCATGAAAATAACATTCATCTTCTTGTTCATCTCCATCAGAGCTCATGGGTCACCAGACACATTATCAATGAGCGGTAATATTTTAAAAGGAATCTATCTGAGTAGTAGATGTCAACAGTGGGCTTTAAATATTCAATAAGGCATGCTGTAAACAGATGTACTCTTATCTAGGCTTTGTTATTCCATTTCTAGAGTACAGGCAGATTATATTGAGCATAATTCTTAAGAGCTCTAGGACTTTCAGAATGGTAAATGAGCATTGGCTTCATCTTAAATCACCAACTGCATCAGCCCCTAACAAGAGAGTCAGGTTGTCCTTTGAAGCTTTTAAGCCAGGCATTGACTTCTCCTCTCTAGCTATGAAAGTCCTAGATAGCATCTTCTTCTAATAGAAGAGTGTTTCATCTACATTGAAAATCTGTTGTTTATGCAGCCACCTTCATCAGTAATCTCAGCTAGATCTTCTGGATAACTTGCTGCAGCTTCTCCACCAGCACTTGCTGCTTCACTTTGTCTTCTTATGTTCCTTAAACCTCATGAACCAATTTACGTAGCCTCAAGCTTTTCTTCTGAAGCTTCCTCACCACTCTCAGCTTTTATAGAATTGAAGGGAGTTCGGGCCTTGCTCTGGATTAAACTTTGGCTTAAGAGAATCTTATGGCTGGTTTGATCTTCTATCCAGACCACTCAAACTTTCTCCATATCAGCAATATGGCTGTTTTGCTTTCTTAACGTTTGTGTGTTCACTCAAGTATCACTTTTAATATCCTTCAAGAACTTTTCCTTTGCATTCACAACTTGGCTAACTGGTGCAAGAGGCCTAGCTTTCAGCCTGTCTCAGCTTTTGACATGCTTTCCATACTAAATTCAATCATGCTTAGCTTTTGATTTAAAGTGAGAGATGTGCAACTCCTCCTTTTATGTGAACCCTAATTAGAGGCCAGTGAAGGGTTAATTGGCCTAATTTCAATCTTGCTGTGTTTTAGTTGTTAGGGAGGCCCGAGGAGGGAGAGACAGGAGAATGGCTGGTTGGTGGAGCAGTCAGAACATACACAACATTTATCGATTAAGTCCACTTTCTTATATGGGTTTGGTTCATGGCACCCCAAAACAATACAATAGTAACATCAAAGATCACTGATCACAGATCACCATAACAGATATAATAATTTTCAAAAGTCTGAAACAATGTGAGAATTACTCCTTGCACCTGGGCAGCTTTTCCGAGCTCTGGGGCAGTGGGTGGGTGGGTGGGGCTGGTTTGTCACAAATCCTAGGCTTCTGCTTTCCCTTGTTGCTTATCTGAAAAAGTTTGAAATAATGTGAGCCTTACCAAAGCTCACATGGAATCATGAAGTGGGCACTTGTTGGAAAAATGGTGCCAATAGACTTGTTGGATGCAGGGTTGCCACAAAACTTCAATGCATAAACAAACAAACAAACAAACAAAAAACCCCACCAGTATCTGCAAAGCAAAATAAAGTGAAATTCAATAAAACAAGGTATTCCTGTAATCAGAGTCCCCCTCCCATTAGCACTGACACATCTCTCCTAGGATCAGCCAGGCCTCGGACCACACTGGGAAGGTACAAAAAAGACAATGATCTGGAGATGACAAAGCCTAAAGAATCAAAAAAATTAGAAGATTGATGTCATCCTGGATGGGAGGAGGGGTTAAAGGGAACACAAAAAGGAGAACTGAGCAATGAGGAATGCAGGACAGCTCTCTAGGTGGCCTTGGATGAACCAAGTTCTCCACACTTTCTTGCTTGTAGTTCTGAGGAATAACTGTAGAACATGCTGGGAATGCAACATCCTGAAATATGGAAGAAGGGGCCAAAACATCCCAGGTGCTGTTCCAGTCCCTCCTAGAAACAGGATGTCCATCAAGGCTTTATCCTAGCAAGTCATGAGACTCTGGCGTATAAAACCCAGGGTGGGCTGCTTACCAGGGTCCCTGAGCTGTGGGGCAAGTGAGGCATGCACAGACGAGACTTCATTTATTCTGGGCCGATTTTCTGAGCTTTGGGGGGCTGGTTTGTCACAAATCCTAGGCTTCTGCTGTTCCTTGCTGCCTATGTGTAAGTAATAAACCCATTTCATGGTGCTCACGTGTTTGGGAGTGCTCTGTCTCATTGAAGTCAGGCAAGTAGAGTGATGGCAGCAGCAGGCCATGAAGAGTGGCCACTTGCATCATGCTGGCTGCAGTGGGGAGGTGTGGGCTGTGGTGGCAGGAGGCTGTGGGAGCAGCAGTGGTGGCAGTGCGGCCCCTGTGTCCTGTGTTCCTGAGGCAGCCGACTGCACCACCCCCGTCCTCACATGGCCAGGCAAGACCTGCTCCCAGGCCCAGAGCCTCCACTGTAGCCTCAACCTCACTCCCCAATGCATCTTGGGAGCCTGCAAACACCCAGCCAAAGGTGCAGCCAGGACTCATGGGACCAGCCCCAAAAGCATGGAGTTTATTCATGTGGGGTTGGCCAGGGCACCTCATCCACCATCACTGCAGGGAAAGTGCAGAGAGGAGGTGAGCAGTCCCCAAAGCCCACCCCTGGGAGCCCCCCGGAGCCTGCTGCCCTGGGAGCTGGCACAATGGTGCCAGGCTGAGTCACCTATCGGTGGGAGAGTAGTGCAGCCATGAACAGAGGGGTGGGCAGAGACAGACCCTGAGGTGGAGTGGGGCCTGGGATGGTGCTGCACTCCACAGAGCTGGCAGGAGCTCCCCAAGGGCAAATGCAGCCACCCAAGCTGTGGCTGCAGACCTGGGCATCCCTAAGCTCTCGGGGGCCAGAAGCAGGCAACGGCCCCACCCTCCTGGGCACAGCTGCAGCTGCCCAAGCTGCAGCTGCAGACCTAGGCATCTCTGCACTCTCAGGGACCCAGGAAGGGTCCCCCCTGTCTCCAGTAGGCTTGGAAGTGCCTGATCCCACTGTCTGGCTTCTCTCTGCTGTCAACACCTACTCCAATCACACAGCAAAGCTGAGGCCGAGCCCAAGCACTGTCATAACCTGGCTGAGTATGTGCACACTCGGGACAGCGGTGACACACCAGCCCCCTGCCCACTTGGCCCCCTCTGGACTTTGGGCACCAACAAGCACAGGAGGGAGGCTGAAGAGGGGCTGAGGGCAGCTCGGTGCTGGCCTGCAGGTACCCTTCAGCATAAAGAGCCTGGGCACTACGAACAGTGGCAAGAGGCAGACAGGCTCCTGGGCAGAAAGGGGCAGGTCCCCAGTGAAGCCCCACCTTCAAGCTGGGGAAGGCCTGAAGCCTGGGAACCAAGCTGCCAGTCCCATGGACCAGAGTGGGTACTTACAGTGCTTTTTCTGGGCCTGCCCATGGCCACCCATGGACCCATCGGCATGCACTTTCTCCCCTCTAAGGCCCATAAAAAACCCTGGACTCAGCCACACCAGAAGAGATGACGGGACAACCAGCTGCAGAAGGGAGCTACCCTCTCTGCTGAGAGCTCAAGAGATGATGGGACAACCTGCCTGCAGAGAGGAGCTACCCTCTCTGCTGAAAGCTGAACACTCATCGGGACACCATGGCTATGTAGAGGAGCTACCGACTGTGGGTTTCCTCTGAGCTGTTCTATTGTTCAATAAAGCTCCTCTTCGTCTTGCTCACCCTCCACTTGTCTGTGTACCTCATTCTTCCTGGACACAGGACAAGAACTCAGTACCCACCAAATGGGGTTGCTAAAAGAGCTGTAACACAAACAGGGCTGAAACATGTCCCTTGCTCACCACGTTGTGGGTGACAAGAAAAAGAGAAGAGAGAAGGAGAGAGGAGCTGTAGCCACAGACCTAGGAGCTCCCTGAGCCAGGGCTGTGACACCCCCTTTAGGGCTCTGTGGTTCCTGGCATCTCCGAGCTTCCAGGCACCACCGCATTTTCTGGTGTGAGCTGTGGAAGCTGCTTATGGTATGCTTGGTCCAGCTCCAGCCTTGCAGGGAGCTGGCATCCATGCCAGTGCCTGGAACTGCCCGCCCCACCACAGCCAGTGTGTCTGGCTATGGACAGTGGCCAGACCCCACGCTCACTCACGGACCCCTTGCCACTTCATGCCTGGCTTGCCTTGGCAAGTGTGGGATTCAGGCCAGTAGTGTGAGCTGGGCACTGTCTGACAGGCTGAGTGGGTAGAACAAGCCCAGAAGGCCAGAGCAAAACTCAGGCAAAGGCACCACTGGTCATAGAGGTTTCTGGCTGGCAAAGCAACACCCCAGGGATTCTGTAAGGGTGCAGCCTGAGATGCAGTGGGCCGAAGTGGTAACCAGTGCACAGTGAACCTGCTTTGTAAGGGGCACGACATATGAGGCAAAAAAGCTAAAATACTGTTTTAATGTTCAACTGCCTTAAACAAATGTGGAATTTGAAGGAGAATTCAGGGAGGTCATCTTGGTCTCACACTGGGGGTTATTAGAAAGTGATCTCAACTGAAAAGCTGGCAAAGAAAGTTTGAATCCTTGGCTCTGTAAGCAGCACCTTCCCTCTGGGCTTCATCTTCTGCCTGTATACGAAGCCAGGTACAGACTTTGTTGTCTCATACAGAACCTCCAGTGGACATCCAAGCTGATGTCAAGAAATGTTCGTTTCTTTTTGGAAAAGGAAGATAGTTATGGCATAAGGAGATCCACTTACAGTTGAACAGGACCAGCAACTCTGTTGAGTCAGCATGAGCACCTGTATGTATGTATGGAACTATAAGAAAGTATAAATTATATACTATTCTCAATTATAGCTCAGTGGTAGAGCATTTAACTGTAGATCAAGAGGTCCCTGGATCAACTCTGGGTGCCCCCTTTAAAGAATTCATTTTCCTCCTTGAGCCGAACTGACAAAATCGAGTTTTACTTGAGTAGAGACCATAGTGCAGTCCACTCACAGAAGGAAGCTGATGAGCTTATGAAACAGTGCCTTTATGACCTTCTTCCTATGGCCATCCCCTACAATTCAGGATCCAACCAGGTGCTCAGCACTGCCTTAGAGACCAAGGACAAGACCAAGTCCATCCCAATACCCTCCTTGAAGGTATGTTTCCTAGTGCCCCACTGGTAGCTATTTCTGTATCATTCAGGGTCCAGTTCTGAGACAAAAACTGCACCAGTTACTTTAGCAGAGAGAATTCAACATAATTGTGGAGGAATGTTTTAGTTTTCTAGGGCTGCCCTAACAAAGCACCACGATATATGAGGCAAAAAAGCTAAAATACTGTTTTAAAGTTCAACTGCCTTAAACAAATGTGGAATTTGAAGGAGAATTCAGGGAGGTCGTCCTGGTTTCACACGGTGGGTGGCGGTGGGGGGTGGGGGGCGGTCATTAAAAAGTGATCTTAGCTGAAAAGCTGGCAAATCCAGTATCCAGAAAATGTGGGTTCTATCTTTGAAGTGTTGCAGGCTTGGCCAAACCATTGGGCATTTTGAGTCTCTGTTTGCAGGCCCCGGCACAAAACCCACAACATAGGTGTCACTAGAGAGCCTTCCAGCTGTCGGGGGACTGCTCCCCAGATCCCTGCACTTACTCAGGAACTGAGAGTGGAGAGGTGGCAGAGCTGTGGGAGAAGGAACTGGTTGCTTCCTCTAAGACAGGGTGTTGAGTTGGCAGCAAGTCAGGCCTTGTAACTCAGAAACCCATCCTGAAGCGGAATCTAGGACAGCAGGTCTGGGTGTGGCTGCACAGGGAAAGGTTGTTAATTGGACCTTACTAATGTAACTGGGGGTATAGCTCAGGGGTAGAGCATTTGACTGCAGATCAAGAGGTCCCCAGTTCAAATCTGGGTGCCCCCTAGCATTTTAAACATGAAAGGTGGTAAAGGAGTCCTAGTTTATTTTCCCATTGCTGAGCCCAGTTTCTGAGTCTCTGTGCAAAGGCTGAAGAATCAGAGGACACCCTCCCCCACTGAGCAGTTGGCGTTTCTCTCAGCTCCCACTCCTCTGATCTTCCCAATACCCCCTCGCCTGGTCCTTGGGCTTTGCAATATATACCTTGATCTTCTGGCCATGGGTGAGAACTAGGTCCTTTAGAGGGTAGCTGGTGAGAAATATGAAATCACCCACTGCTGGCCAGAAGATAGTGTGGTAACACATTCAATGAGAGGAAATAACAGCCAGGTCAGAATTCTGTTCCCTGAAAAACGATTCTTCAAGAATAAACAATTGCTGAGAAAAATTACCACCAACAGATCCTTACTAAAGAAAATTCCAGGCCGGGCGCAGTGGCTCAGGCCTGTAATCCCCGCACTTTGGGAGGCCAAGGCAGGTGGAGTTCAAGACCAGCCTGGCCAAGAAGGTGAAACCCCGTCTCTACTAAAAATACAAAATTTAGCCAGGCGTGGTGGCGGGTGTCTGTAATCCCAGCTACTCAGGAGGCTGAAGTAGGAGAATTGCTTGAACCGGGGAGGCGGAGCCTGCAGTGAGCCGAGATCGTGCCACTGCACTCCAGCCTGGGCGACAGGGCGAGACTCCATCTCAGAAAAAAAAAAGAAAAAGAAAAATTCCAAAATATGTACTTTAGAGAAAAGTAAAATGATCCCAGATAGGAGGACTGAGATACGAAAAGAGTGTTAAACAGGGAAATCGGTAGATATGTAAGTAAATCTAAATTTCATTGACCATATAACATCACATTAATGTCTAACTTACAGGTTTTTTAAAATATAAAACTAAAATACTGGTCACAATAACATATAAGGAAAGAGCTGATCCAAGTTTAAGTATTATAATATCTTTATGTAATTTGGGAGGAGGACAAAGATGATTAACTGTAGACTTTTTAAATTTGCTTGCAGAAATTCCTAGTGTATCATTTTGTAAAGTTGTGGCTTTGCCAAGCAAAGGGAGGTAAGGGGAGGGAGAGCACATGCTTGAAGAGCAAATAAATGAAGTGGAAAAAAATTGTAGTTAATCCAAAAGAAGGCTGCAAATAAAAAATAAAAGAAAAATGGGACAAGTGGAAAGCAGTCAGTTGGACTCAATCCTGATAAACTGTACTGGGCGAATGCTGTATTCATTTCCCAGGGCTGCTGTGATAAAATCACACACACTGAGTTGTTTTAAACAACAGAACTGTATTTTCTCACAGTTCTGGAGGCCAGGAATCTGAAATCAAGTTGTCGGCAAGGCCACAGTCTCTCTGAAGACTCCAGGGGAGAATGTGTTCCAGGTCTTTTTCTCAGCTCCCAGTGTTGCTGGCAATCCTTGCTGTTCTTTGGCTGTAGAAGCATCACTCCAGGCTCTGCCTCTGTTCCCACGTGACGTTCTTGTGTCTGTGTCTTCACATGGTGTGCTCCTCTGTGTGTGTCTGTCTCTGCCTCTTCTTCTCTTCTTATAAGAACACCAGCAATATTGGATTAAGGCCCACCCTAATGACCTCATCTTAATTTGATTACATTTGCAAAGACCCTATTTCCAAATAAGATCACATTCACAAGTATGCAATGTGAGGAGAAGTTAGGACTTCAACACATCCATTGCGAGGACACAGTTCAACCCATAACAAATGGTACTCCTCGAAAATTCACAACCACCCTGAAATTCAGAATATTACATTTGGAAAATTCACACATAATGTTGCATGTAACTGAGAGTCTCACCCTGTCATCTAGGCTGGAATACAGTGCTGTGATCATACCTCACTGCAGCCTCTAATTCCTGGGCTCAAGAAATTCTGCCACCTCAGCCTCCCAAGTAGTTGGAACTACAGGCATGCACCACCACACCCAGCTAATTTATTATTGTTGTTTTTTGTAGAGATGCGGTCTTGCTATGTTGTCCAGGCTGGTCTCTCACTCTTTTTTTTGAGACAGAGTCTTGCTCTGTCACCCAGGCTGGAGTGCATGGCATGATCTCGGCTCACTGCAAGCTCCACCTCCCAGGTTCATGCCGTTCTTCTGCCTCAGCCTCCTGTGTAGCTAGGACTACAGGTGCCCGTCACCACGCCCGCCTAAGTTTTTGTATTTTTAGTAAAGACCGGATTACACCATGTTGGCCAGGATGGTTTCGATCTCCTGACCTTGTGATCCGCCCGCCTCGGCCTCCCAAAGTGCTGGGATTACAGGTGTGAGCCACCGCACCCGGCCATCTCTCACTCTTGACCTCAAGCAATCCTCCTGCTTCAGCCTCCAAAAGTGCTGGGATTACAGGTGTGAGCTACAATGCCCTGCCTCCTCTCAAGGTTTTATGCTTTTTCTAAGTAGAGCATTTCCCATATTTTGTTAGAGTTATTCCTAGATGTTTGAAATTTTTATGCTATAATAAATGTTATCTTTTATACAATTTAAATTTCTTACTGTGGCTGAAATATAGAAATATAATTGAGAGGTTTGTTCTCAATTTTTATTATTGTGGTTAAAAAAACCTATATCATTTACCCTCTTAACCACTTTTAAGTGTATGATTCAGTGGTATTAAAAACATTCATGGCTGGGCGCAGTGGCTCGCACTTGTAATCCCAGCACTTTGGGAGGCCAATGCAGGCAATCACCTGAGGTCAGGAGTTTGAGACCAGCCTGGCCAACATAGTGAAACCCCGTTTCTACTAAAAATACAAAAAATTAGCCAGGCGTGGTGGTGCACGCTTGTAATCCCAGCTACTCAGGAGGCTGAGGTAGGAAAATCGCTTGAACCCAGGAGGCGGAGGTTGCAGTAAGCTGAGATCACACCATTGCACTCCAGCTTGGGCAACAAGAGCGAAACTCCATCTCAAAAAAAAAAAAAATTCATAATGTTGTGCAACCATCATCACCATACATCTCCAGAACTCCTTTCATCTTGTAAAACTGAAATATTATACCCATTAAATAGTAACTCCCCATTCTCCACTGCCCCCAGCCGCTGGCAACCACCATTTTACTTTCCATCTCTATGATTTTGACTACTCTAAGTATCTCATATATGTAGAATAACACAGTATTTGTCTTTTTGTGATTGGTTTATTCCACTCACCATAATGTCCTCAAGGTTCATCCACATTGTGGCATGTGTCAGAATTTCCCTTTCTTGTAAGGCTGAATAGTATTCCATTGTATGGACAGACCACATTTTGCTTATCCATTCATCCTCCAATGAACACTTGGGCTACTTCCATGTTTCAACTGTAGTGAACGATGCTGCTATGAACACAGGGGTAAATATCTCTTCAAGACCTTGCTTTCAATTTTTTTGGGTATATATCCAGAAGTGGAATGGCTGGATCATATGATAATTCTATCTTTAATTTTTTGAGGAAACACCATACTGTTTTCCACAGCAGCTGTACCCGTTTACATTCCACCAATAGTGTACAAGGGTTTCAAGTTCTCCACATCCTTGTCAATACTTGTTATTTTCTGTTTTTGTGATAGTAGCAGTCCTACTGGGTATAAGGTGGTATCTCATTGTAGTTTTGACTTGCATTTCCCTAATGAATGGTGATGTTGAGCATCTTTTCATGTGATTTTTAGCCACTTGTATACCATCTTTGGAGAAATGTCTATTCAAGTCTTTTGCCCATTTTTTCAAGTCGTTTGTTTTTGGAGTTGTTGAGTTTTAACAGTTCTCTGTATACTCTGGATATTAATCCAGTATCAGATACAGTTGTCCCTTTGTGTCTGTAGGGTATTTGTTCCAGGAACACCCATAGATCCCAAAATCTGTGGCTGCTCATGTCCCTTAGATAAAATGACATAGCATTTGCATATAACCTATGCACATCCTTCTGCATTTTTTTTTTTTTTGAGATGGAGTCTTGCTCTGTCACCCAGGCTGGAGTACAGTGGCGCTATCTTGGCTCACTGCAACCTTCGCCTCCCAGGTTTGAGCTATTCTCCTGCCTCAGCCTCCCAAGTAACTGGGATTACAGGCACGTGCCCCCATGCCTGGCTAATTTTTGTATTTTTAGTAGAAATGGGGTTTCACCATGTTGGCCAGGCTGGTCTCGAACTCCTGACCTCAAGTGATCCACCCACCTCAGCCTCCCAAAGTCCTGGGATTACAGGCGTGAGCCATCTCGCCCAGCCACCCTCCTGCATATTTCAAATCATCTCTAGATTACTTATAAAAGCTAATGCAATGTCTACACATCACTTCATTTTCATGGGTTCAATGTAGTACTCAGCAAGTGACAAATTCAAGTTTTGCTTTTTGAAACTTTATGAATTTTTTGTCCAAATATTCTCGACCTGTATTTGGTTGAATCCATAGATGTGGAACCCACAAATGTGGAAGGTTAACTGTATATGATTTGCAAGTATTTTCTCCTATTCTCTGGGTTGCCTTTTCACTCTGTTGATATTATCTTTTGATGCACAAAGCTTTTTAACTTTAATGAAGCCCAATTTGTCTACTTTGTCTTTTGCTGCACTTGTCTTTAATGTTATATCTAAGAAAGGATTGTCAAATCTAATGCTGTGAAGATTTTGCCTTATATTTTCTTCTAAAACTTTTATAGTTCAATGGCCAGGCATGGTGGCTCATGCCTGTAATCCCTGCACTTTTGGAGGCCAAGGTGGGCAGATCACTTGAGGTCAGGAGTTTGAGACCAGCCAGGCCAACATGATGAAACCATGTCTCTACTAAAAATACAAAAATTACGTGGGCATGGTGGCACATGCCTGTAATCTCAGCTAATTGGGAGGCTGAGGCAGGAGAATTGCTTGAACCCGGGAGGCAGAGATTGCAGTGAGCCGAGGTCACAGCACTTTACCCTAGCCTGGCCAACAGAGTGAGACTCCATCTCAAAAAATAAATGAATAAATAAAAGTTTTATAGTTTAGGTCTTAAATTTAGGCTTTTGCTAATTTTGAGTTGATTTTTGTATATAGTGTTAAGTCAGGGTGCAACTGCATTCTTTTCCATGTGGATAGTCAATTCCCAGCAACATCTGTTGAAACGACTGTCTTATCCCCCACTGAATGGTCCTGGCACCCTTGTCAAAAAATCACTTGATCATATACACAAAGATTTATTTTGGGGCACTCTATTCTATTCCACTGATTATATGTCTATCTTCATGTCAATAACACACTGTTTTGGTTGCTGTAGCCTTGTAATAAGCTTTAAAACCAGGAAGCATGAGTCTTTCAGCTTTGTTCTTCTTTTTCAAGATTTGTTTTGACAATTTAGTGTCCCTTGAGACTCATATGAATTTTAGGAATTTTATTTTCTCTATTTCTGCCAAAAAAATTATTGGATACTGATAGGGATTGCATTAAATCCCTATCAATGCAACCCCTATTCATAGCTCACTGCAGCTTACAACTCCTAAACTGAGCAAAAGCCTAGATTGCTTTGGGTAGTGATATGGTCTGGCTCTGTGTCCCCACCCAAATCTCATCTTGAATTGTAATCCAAATTGTAATCCCCACGTGTTGGGGTAAGGACCTCATGAGAGGTAGTTGAATCATGCGGGCGGTTTCCCCCATTCTATTCTCATGATATTGAGTAAGTTCTCATGATAGCTGATGATTTTATAAGGGGCTTCCTCCTTCGTTCAGCATTCATACTTCTCTCTCCTGCTGCCATGTGAAGAAGGACGTATTTGCTTCCCCCTCCGCCATAACTGTAAGGTTCCTGAGGCCTCTCCAACCATGTGGAACTGTGAGTCAACTAAACCTCTTTCCTTTATTACCCAGTCTTGGATATTTCTTCATAGCAGCATGAGAACAGACTAATACAGTAAATTGATACCACAGAGAGTGGGGTGCTGCTATAAGCATACTCAAAAATATGGAAGGAACATTGGAACTGGGTAACAGGCAGAGGTTGGAACAGTTTGAGGGGCTCAGAAGAAGACAGAAAAATGTCTTCCTGTTCCTTCCTTCTCTAGGAACCTCCTAGAGACTTATTGAATGGCTTTGACTAAAATGCTCATAATAATTTGGATAATGAAGTCCAGGCTGAGGTAGTCTCAGATGGAGATGAGGAACTTTTTGGGAATTGGAGTAAAAGTAACTCTTCCTATGTTTTAGCAAAGAGACTGGTGGCATTTTGCCCTGGCTCCAAAGATCTGTGGAACTTTGAACTTGAAAGAGATGATTTAGGGTATCAGGCAAAGCATTCAAGAGGAAGCAGACCATAAAAGGTTGGAAAATTTGTAGCCTGGTGATGCAACAGAAAAGAAAACCCCAGTTTCTGGGGAGAAATTCAAGCTGGCTGCAGAAATTTGCATAAGTAATAAGGAGCCAAATGTTAATTACCAAGACAGTGGGGAACATGCCTCCAGGGCATGTCAGAAAGCTTTACAGCAGCCCCTCACATCACAGGCTTAGAGGCCTAGGAGGGAAAAATGGTTTCATGGGCCAGGCCCAGGGTACCCCTGCTTTATGCAGCCTTGGGACATGGTCCCCTGAGTCCCAGCTGCTTCAGCTCCAGCCATGGCTAAAAGGGGCCAATGTACAGTTCAGACCATTGCTTCAGGGGGTGTAAGACCCAAGGCTTGATGGCTTACATGTGGGTGTTGGGCCTGCAGGTACACAGAAGTCAAGATTTAGATTTCAGAGGATGTGTGGAAATTCCTGGATGTCCAGGCAGAAGTTTGCTGCAGGAGTGGAGCCCTCACGGAGAACCTCTGCTAGAACAGTGCAAAAGAAAAATGTGGGGTCAGAGCCCCCACACAGAGTCCCCACTGGGACACTGCCCCTGGAGCTCTGAGAAGAGGGTCATCGTCCTCCAGACCCCAGAATGGTAGATTCGCTGACAGCTTGGACCATCATGCACCTGGAAAAGCCACAGACACTCAATGCCAGCCCATGAAAGCAGCCAGGAGGGTGGACCACACCCTGCAAAGCCACAGAGGCAGAGCTGCTTAAGGCCATAGGAGCCCACCTCTTGCATCAGCATGCCCTGTAGTCCCTTCGTTTTGACCAATTTCTCCCATTTGGCACAGGTGTATTTACCTAATGCTTGTATCTCCATTGTTTCTATGAAGTAACTAACTTGCTTTTAATTTTACAGGATCATAGGTAGAAGGAACTTGCCTTGTCTCAGATAAGACTATAGACTTGGACTTTTGAGTTAATGGTGAAATAAGCTAAGACATTGGGAAAGTGTTGAGAAGGCATAATTGTGTTTTGAAACATAATAAAGGTGAAATTTGGGAGGGGCCAGTGGTGGAATGATATGGCCTAGTTCTGTGTCACACCTAAATCTCTTCTTGAATTGTAATCCAAATTGTAATCCAGTGTTGGGGGAAGGACCTTGTGCAAGGTAATTGAATCAAAGAGGTGCTTTCTCCCATGCCATTCTCAGGATAGTGAGTAAGTTCTCACAAGATCTGATGGTTTTATAAGGAACTTCCCTCTTTACTAGGGTCTCATACTTCTCTCTCCTGACACCATGTGAAGAAGGATGTGTTTGCTTCCCCTTCTGCCATGATTGTAAGTTTCCTCAGCCCTCCCCAGCCATGCAGAACTGTGAGGCAATTAAACCTCTTTCCTTTATAAATTACCTAGTCTTGAGTATTTCTTCATAGCAGTAAGAGAACAGACTAATACAGGTAGTGTTGTCATCTTAACTATATCAAGTCTTCCAATCCATGAACATGGGATGAGGTTCCATTTATTGGTTTTCTTTAAATTTATTTCAACAATGTTTTCTGGTTTTCATTGTACAGGTATTTTGTTTTCTTGGTTAATTCCTAAGTATTTTACCATTTTGATACTATAATAAATTGAGCTATTTTCATAATTTCCTTTTCAGATTGTTAATTGTTAGAAATGCAACTGATTTTTGTGTGTTGACTTTGTATGCTGCCACTTTGCTGAATTCATTTATTAGTTTTAACAGTTTTGTGGGATATTTGGGGTTTTCTATTTGTAAGACTATATCACCTGTGAACAGAGATCATTTTACTTCTTCTATTCCAATTTGAATGTCTGTTTTGTTTTTCTTGCCTAATTTCTCTGGTTAGAACTTCCAGTACTATGTTGAATAGATGTGGTGAAAGTGAGCCTCTTTGCCTTGTTTCTTATCTTACAGAAAAATATTTCAGCCTTTCACCATTGAGTATGGTATTTGCTATAGTTTTTCACATATGGTTTTTCACATATGACTTTTATTATGTTGACGTAGTTTCTTTCTATTCCTAGTTTCTCAAGTGTTTTTATCATAAAAGTGTGATGAAGTTTGTCAAATATTGTTTCTGCATCAATTTAGATGATCACGTGTGTTTTCCCTTCATTCTGTTAGTATAGTGTATTATATTGATCAGTTTTCATATGTTGAACCATTGTTGCATCCCACAAATAAATTCCACTTACTTATGGAGTATAAACCTTTTAATATGCTACTTAATTTTATTTGCTACTATTTTATCAAGGATTTTTGCATAAATGTTCATATGTTCTCATGGTAGTGAATAAGTCTCACAAGTTCTGATGCAGTTTTATAAGGGGAAACCCCTTGCACTTGGCTGTCATTCTCTCTCACCTGCCACCATGTAAGACATGACTTCTGCCTTCTGCCATGATTGTGAGGCCTCCCCAGCCATGTGGAACTGTGATTCCATTAAACCTCTTTTCCCTATAAATTACTCAGTCTCAGGTATGTCTTTATCAGCAGTGTGAAAACAAAGTAATACAAAAGTGCACAAGATATATTGGTCTTTAGTTTCCTTCCCTTCTAGTGTCCTTATTTGGCTTTGGTATTGCAGTAATACTGAGCTCATAAAATAATTTAGAAGGTATGACCTCCTCTTCAATTTTTTTGGAAAAGTTTAAAAAGGGTTGGTGTTAATTCATCTTTAAATATTTTAGTAGAATTCACCAGTGAATCAGGTTCAAGGCTTTTCTCTTTTGAGAGATATTTTGATCACTGATTAAATCTCCTTACTAGTCATGGGTCTATATAGATTTTCTAATTTTTAGTGATTTAGTCTTAATAAGTTTTGTGTTTTTAGAAATTTGTCCATTTTATCTTGGTTATACATTGTCTTGGCATACAATTGTTCATAATACAAAGGATTGTAAAATACAACCGTTTTTACTTCTGTAAAACTGGTAGTAAATCCCCACTTTTATTTATTTATTTATTTATTTATTTATTTTGAGATGGAGTCTCACTCTGTTGCCCAGGCTGGAGTGCAGTGGCACAATCGCGGCTCACTGCAAGCTTCGCCTCCTGGGTTCATGCCATTCTCCTGCCTCAGCCTCCCAAGTAGATAGGACTACAGGTGTCCGCCACCACACCCAGCTAATTTTTTGTGTTTTTAGTACAGACGGGGTTTCACCGTGTTAGCCAGGACGGTCTCGATCTCCTGACCTTGTGATCTGCCCGCCTCAGCCTCCCAAAGTGCTGGGATTACAGGCATGAGCCACCGCACCTGGCCTCATTTCTTATTTTAATAATTTCAGCCTTCTCTCTTTTTTTGTTAGTCCACCTAGCTAAAGATTTGTAAATTTTGTTGATTTTTTCAAAGAACCAACTTTTGGTTTTATTGATTTTCTATTCTCTATTTTGTTTCATAATTTTTAATTCTCTATTTCATTTATTTCTGCTCTAATCTTTATTATTTTGTTCTTCTAGTTTGAGGGTTAACATGTTCTTCACGAATAGGAACAGCTCCAGTCTATAGCTCCCAGCATGAGCAACACAGAAGATGGGTGATTTCTGCATTTCCAACTGAGGTACCGGGTTCATCTCACTGGGGCTTGTCAGACATGGGGTGCAGCCCACGGAGCATGAGCCGAAGCAGGGCAGGGCATCGCCTCACCCAGGAAGTACAAGGGGTCAGAGAATTCCCTTTCCTAGCCAAGGGAAGCTGTGACAGACGGTACCTGGAAAATCGGGACACTCCCACCCTCATACTGTGCTTTTCCAAGAGTCTTAGCAAACAGCACAACAGGAGATTATATCCTGCACCTGGCTCAGCGGGTCCCATGCCCATGGAGCCTCACTCGCTGCTAGCATGTCCAACTGCAAGGTGGCAGCTAGGCTGGGGGAGGGGCATCTGCCATAGCTGAAGCTTGAGTAGGTAAACAAAGCTACCAGGAAGCTCAAACTGGGTGGAGCCCACCGCAGCTCAAGGAGGCCTGCCTGCCTCTGTAGACTCCACTCTAGAGGCAGAGAATAGCTGAACAAAATGCAGCAGAAACTTCTGCAGACTTAAACCTTCCTGTCTGACAGCCTTGAAGAGAGTAGTAGTTCTCCCAGCATGGAGTTTGAGATATGAGAAAGAACAGACTGCCTCCTCAAGTGGGTCTCTGACCCCTGAGTAGACTAACTGGGAGGCACCTCACAGTAGGGGCCAACTGACATCTCATACAGCTGGGTGCCCCTCTGAGACGAAGCTTCCAGAGGAAGGATCAGGCAGCAAAATTTGCCGTTCTGCAATATTTACTGTTCTGCAGCCTCCGCTGGTGATACCCAGGCAAACAGGGTCTGGAGTGGACCTCCAGCAAATTCCAACAGATCTGCAGCTGAGGGTCCTGATTGTTAGAAGGAAAACTAACAAACAGAAAGGACATCCACACCAAAACACCATATACACGTCACCATCATCAAAGACCAAAGGTAGATAAAACCACAAAGATGGGGACAAACCAGAGCAGAAAAGCTGAAAATTCTAAAAATCAGAGCACCTCTTCTCCTCCAAAGGAACACAGCTCCTCACCAACAACGGAACAAAGCTGGACGGAGAATGACTTTGACAAGTTGAGAGAAGAAGGCTTCAGACAATTGGTAATAACAAACTTCTCCAAGCTAAACGAGGATGTTTGAACCCATTGCAAAGAAGCTAAAAACCTTGAAAAAAGATTAGATGAATGGCTAACTAGAATAAACAGCATAGAGAAGACCTTAAATGACCTGATGGAGCTGAAAACCATGGCACAAGAACTACATGAGGCATGCACAACCTTCAGTAGCTGATTTGATCAAGTGGAAGAAAGGGTATCAGTGATGGAAGATCAAATGAATGAAATGAAGCAAGAAGAGAAGTTTAGAGAGAAAAGAATAAAAAGAAATGAACAAAGCCTCCAAGAAATATGGGACTATGTAAAAAGACCAAATCTACATCTGATTGGTGTACCTGAAAGTGATGGGGAGAATGGGACCAAGTTGGAAAACATTCTTAGGATATTATCCGGGAGAACTTCCCCAACCTAGCAAGGCAGGCCAACATTCAAATTCAGGAAATACAGAGAACACCACAAAGATACTCCCTGAGAAGAGCAACTCCAAGACACATAATTGTCAGAATCACCAAAGTTGAAATGAAGGAAAAAATGTTAAGGGCAGCCAGAGAGACAGGTCGGGTTACCCACAAAGGGAAGCCCATCAGATTAACAGCAGATCTCTCGGCAGAAACTCTACAAGCCAGAAGAGAGTGGGGGGCAATATTCAACATTCTTAAAGAAAAGAATTTTCAACCCAGAATTTCATATCCAGCCAAACTAAGCTTCATAAGTGAAGTAGAAATAAAATCCTTTACAGACAAGCAAATGCTGAGAGATTTTGTCACCACCAAGCCTGCCTTACAAGAGCTCCTGAAGGAAGCACTAAACATGGAAAGGAACAACTGGTACCAGACACTGCAAAAATATGCCAAAATGTAAAGACCATTGAGACTAGGAAGAAACTGCATCAACTAACGAGCAAAATAACCAGCTAACATCATAATGACAGGATCAAATTCACACACAACAATATTAACCTTAAATGCAAATGGGCTAAATGCTCCAATCAAAAGACACAGACTGGCAAATTGGATAAAGAGTCATCAGTGTGCTGGATTCAGGAGGCCTATCTCACATGCAGAGACACACACAGGCTCAAAATAAAGGGATGGAGGAAGATCTACCAAGCAAATGGAAAACAAAAAAAAAGCAGGGTTTGCAATCCTAGTCTCTGATAAAACAGACTTTAAACCAACAAAAATCAAAAGAGACAAGGAAGGCCATTACATAATGGTAAAGGGATCGATTCAACAAGAAGAGCTAACTATCCTAAATATATATGCACCCAATACAGGAGCACCCAGATTCATAAAGTCCTTAGAGACCTACAAAGAGACTTAGACTCCCACACAATAATAATGGGAGACTTTAACGCTGTCAACATTAGACAGATTAACGAGACAGAAAGTTAACAAGGATATCCAGGAATTGAACTCAGCTCTGCACCAAGTGGACCTAATAGACATCTACAGAACTCTCCACCCCAAATCAACAGAATATACATTCTTCTCAGCACCACATAACACTTATTCCAAAATTGACCACATAGTTGGAAGTAAAGCACTCCTCAGCAAATGTAAAAGAACAGAAATTATAACAAACTGTCTCTCAGACCACAGTGCAATCAAACTAGAACTCAGGATTAAGAAACTCACTCAAAACCGCCCAACTACATGAAAAATGAACGATCTGCTCCTGAATGATTACTGAGTACATAACAAAATGGAGGCAGAAATAAAGACGTTCTTTGACACCAACGAGAACAAAGACACAACATACCAGATCTCTGGGACACATTTAAAGCAGTGTGTAGAGGGAAATTTATAGAACTAAATGCCCACAAGACAAAGCAGGAAAGATCTAAAATTGACACCCTAACATCACAATTAAAAGAACTAGAGAAGCAAGAGCAAATACATTCAAAAGCTAGCAGAAGGCAAGAAATAACTAAGACGACAACAGAACTGAAGGAGATAGAGACACAAAAAACCCTTCAAAAAATCAATGAATCTAGGAGCTGGGTTTTTGAAAATGTCAACAAAATTGATAGACCACTAGCAAGACTAATAAATAAGAAAAGACAGAAGAATCAAATAGATGCAGTAAAAAAATTATAAAGGGGATATCACAACCTATCCCACAGAAATACAAACTACCATCAGAGAATACTATAAACACCTCTAGGCAAATAAACTAGAATTGCAGCACTATTCACAATAGCAAAGACTTGGAACCAACCCAAATGTCCAACAATGATAGACTGGATTAAGAAAACGTGGCACATATACACCATGGAATACTGTGCAGCCATAAAAAATGATGAGTTCATGTCCTTTGTAGGGACATGGATGAAATTGGAAATCATCATTCTCAGTAAACTATCGCAAGAACAAAAAACCAAACACTGCATATTCTCACTCATAGGTGGGAATTGAACAATGAGAACACATGGACACAGGAAGGGGAACATCACACTCTGGGGACTGCTGTGGGGTGGTGGGAGGGGGGAGGGATAGCTTTAGGAGATATACCTAATGATAAATGACGAGTTAATGGGTGCAGCACACCAGCATGGCACATGTATTCATATGTAACTAACCTGCACATTATGCACATGTACCCTAAAACTTAAAGTATAATAATAAAAAAAAAAGAAATGGATAAATTCCTGGACACATACACCCTCCCAAGACTAAACCAGGAAGAAGTTGAATCCCTGAATAGACCAATAACAGGCTCTGAAATTGAGGCAATAATTAATAGTCTACCAACCAAAAAAAGTCCAGGACCAGACGGATTCACAGCCGAATTCTATCAGAGATACAAAGAGGAGCTGGTACCATTCCTTCTGAAATGATTCCAATCAATAGAAAAAGGGAGAATCCTCCCTAACTCCTTTTATGAGGCCAGCATCATCCTGATACCAAAGCTTGGCAGAGACACAAAAAAAGAGAATTTTAGACCAATATCCCTGATGAACATCAATGCAAAAATCCTCAATAAAATACTGGCAAACCAAATCCAGCAGCATGTCAAAAAGCTTATCCACCATGATCAAGTGGGCTTCATCCCTGGAATGCAAGGCTGGTTCAACATACACAAATCAATAAATATAATCCATCATATAAACAGAACCAAAGACAAAATGATTATCTCAATAGATGCAGAAAAGGCCTTTGACAAAATTCAACAGCCCTTCATGCTAAAAACTCTCAATAAACTAGGTATTGATGGGATGTATCTCAAAATAATAAGAGCTATTTATGACAAACCCACAGTCAATATCATACTGAATGGACAAAAACTTGAAGCATTCCCTTTGAAAACCAGCACAAGACAGGGATGCCCTCTCTCACCACTCCTATTCAACATAGTGTTGGAAGTTCTGGCCAGGCAATCAGGCAGGAGAAAGAAATAAAGGGTAGTCAATTAGGAAAAGAGGAAGTCAAATTGTCCCTGTTTGCAGATGACATGATTGTATATTTAGAAAACCCCATCGTCTCAGCCCAAAATCTCCTTAAGCTGATAAGCAACTTCAGCAAAGTCTCAGGATATAAAATCATTGTGCAAAAATCACAAGCATTCCTATACACAAATAACAGACACAGAACCAAATCATGAGTGAAGTCCCATTCCCAACTGCTTCAAAGAGAATAAAATACCTAGGAATCCAACTTACAAGGGATGTGAAGGACCTCTTCAAGGAGAACTACAAACCACTGCTCAATGAAATAAAAGAGAACACAAACAAATGGAAGAACATTCCATGCTCATGGATAGGAAGAATCAATATCGTGAAAATGGCCATCCTGCCCAAGGTAATTTATAGATTCAATGCCATCCCCATCAAGCTACCAATGACTTTCTTCACAGATTGGAAAAAAACTACTTTAAAGTTCCTATGGAACCAAAAAAGAGCCCTCATTGCCAAGACAATCCTAAGCCAAAAGAACAAAGCTGGAGGCATCACGCTTCCTGACTTCAAACTATACTACAAAGCTACAGTAACCAAAACAGCATGATACTGGTACCAAAACAGAGATATAGACCAAGGGAACAGAACAGAGCCCTCAGAAATAATACCACACATCTACAACCATCTGATTTTTGACAAACCTGACAAAAACTAGAAATGGGAAAAGAATTCCCTATTTAATAAATGGTGCTGGGAAAACTGGCTAGCCATATGTAGAAAGCTGAAACTAGATCCTTTCCTTACACCTTATACAAAAAATTAACTCAAGATGGATTAAAGACTTAAATATTAGACCTAAAACCATAAAAACCCTAAAAGAAAACCTAGTCAATACCATTCAGGACATAGGCATGGGCAAGGACTTCATGTCTAAAACACCAAAAGCAATGGCAACAAAAGCCAAAACTGAAAAATGGGATCTAATTAAACTAAAGAGCTTCTGCACAGCAAAAGAAAATACCATCAGAGTGAATAGGCAACCTACAGAATGGGAGAAAATTTTTACAATCTACCCATCTGACAAAGGGCTAATATCCAGAGACTACAAAGAACTTAAACAAATTTACAAGAAAAAAATCAAACAACCTCATCAAAAAGTGTGCGAAGGATATGAACAGACACTTCTCAAAAGAAGACATTTATGTGGCCAACAGACACGTGAAAAAATGCTCATCATCACTGGCCATCAGAGAAATGCAAATCAAAATCACATTGAGATACCATCTCACACCAGTTAGAATGGTGATCATTGAAAAGTCAGGAAACAACAGGTGCTGGAGGAGATGTGGAGAAATAGCAACACTTTTACACTGTTGGTGGGACTATAAACTAGTTCAACCATTGTGGAAGACAGTGTGGTGATTCCTCAAGGATCTAGAACTAGAAATACCATTTGACTCAGCTATCCCATTACTGGGTATATACCCAAAGGATTATAAATCATGCTGCTATAAAGACACATGCACATGTATGATTACTGCAGCACTATTCACAATAGCAAAGACTTGGAACCAACCCAAATGTCCAACAATGATAGACTGGATTAAGAAAATGTGGCACATATACACCATGGAACACTATGCAGCCATAAAAAAGGACGAGTTCATGTCCTTTGTAGGGACATGGATGAAGCTGGAAACCATCATTCTGAGCAAACTATCGCAAGGACAGAAAACCAAACACCGCATGTTCTCACTCATAGGTGGGAACTGAACAAGAACACTTGGACAGAGGGTGGGGAACACCACACACCGGGGTCTGTCATGGGGTGGGGACTGGGGGGAGGGATAGCATTAGGAGATATACCTAATGTAAATGACGTGTTAATGGGTGCAGCACAACAATATGGCACATGTATACATATGTAACAAACCTGCACCTTGTGCACATGTACCCTAGAACTTAAAGTATAATAAAAAAAAAAAAAAGAAATACCATTTGACCCAGCCATCCCATTACTGGGTATATACCCAAAGGATTACAAATCATGCTGCTATAAAGACACATGCACACATGTTTATTGCGACACTATTCACAATAGCAAAGACTTGGAACCAACCCAAATGTCCATTAATGATAGACTGGATTAAGAAAATGGGGCACATATACACCATGGAATACTATGCAGCCATAAAAAAGGATGAGTTCATGTTCTTTGTAGGGACTTGAAACTGGAAACCATCATTCTAAGCAAACTATTTCAAGGACAGAAAACCAAACGCTGCATGTTCTCACTCATAGGTGGGAATTGAACAATGAGAACACTTGGACACAGGATGGGGAACATAACACACTGGGGCCTGTCGTGGGGTGAGGGGAGGGGGGAGGGATAGCATTAGGAGATATACCTAATATAAATGATGAGTTAATGGATGCAGCATACCAACATGGCTCATGTATACATATGTAACAAACCTGCACATTGTGCACATGTACCCTAGAACTTAAAGTATAATAAAAAATAAAACATGTTCTTCAATTTCTAGTTCCTTAAGTTGTAAAGCTAGGTTATTAATTTGAAATTTTTCATGTTTTTTAATGTAAGTGTTTATAGCTATAAATTTTTCCCTTATCATTGCTTTCACTGTGTTCCATAAGTTTTGGTATGTTATGTTTTCACTTTCACTGTCTCTAAGTATTTCTGATTTTCTTTCTGATTTGTTCTTCAATTGATTGTTTAAGAATGTGTTGTTTAATTTCCACAATTTTGTGAATTTTCCAGTTTTACTTCTGTTATTTATATTCATCCTGTTATGGTTCAAGAATATATTTTGTATGATATCTTTTTAAATCTATTGCAACTTAATATGTGGCCTAAAATATGATCTATCCTGGAAAATGTTCCATGTGCACTTGAGAAAAATGTGTCTGCTGCTGTTGTTGGGTAGTGTTCTATATATATCTACTACATATAATTAGTTTATTTTGTTTAAGTCTTCTATTTCCTTACTTATTGTCAGTCTGATTGTTCTATTTATTATTGTGAGTGGAGTGCTGAAGTCTTTATTATTTGAGTACTTTCTACTTCTCCCTTCAATTGTGTTGTTTTGGTTCTTGCTCCATGTGTTATTAGGTACATAAATGTTTATAATTGCTACATATTCTTGTTGTACTGAACTTTTTTTAAAGAGAGATTGGGGTCTCACTCTGTTGCCCAGGCTGGAGTATAGTAGTGCAATTATAGCTCACTGCAGCCTCAAACTCCTGGGCTCAAGCAGTCCTCTCACCTCAGCTTCCCAAGTAGCTAGGACTATAGGCAGATGCCATCATGCCCCACTAATTTTTTACTTTTTGTACAGATTGTCACTATGTTGCTCAGACAGGTCTCAACTTCCTGACATCAAGCAATCCTCCTACCTTGGCCCCCTAAAGTGTTGGAATTACAGGCATGAACCACCACACCCGGTCTAAGCTTTTTATTAATATATAATGTCCTTTTTGTGTTGTAATCTTTTTTGATTTAAGGTCTATTTTTTCTGGTATTAGTTTTGCCACCCCCTCTCTCTTTTGATTACTATTTGTATGGAATATCTTTTTGCATCTTTTCACTTTCAATCTATTTGTGTCTTTAGGTCTAAAGTGAATCCTTTATAGACAGCATATAGTTGGATCATGTTTTTGTGTCCACTCTGCCTTTTGATTAAAGTTTAATCCATTTACATTTAAAGTAATTACTGATAAAGAGAAAACTACTTCTGTCATTTTGCTATTCATCTTCTGTATGCGTCTTAGCAGTTTTATCCCTCATTTCTGCGTTACTGTTTTCCTTTTTGTAGTGAAATGTTTAAATTTCTTTCATATATATATATATGTGTGTGTGTGTGTGTCACTTTCAAGATTCTTTGTCTTGGGATGTTGAAAGTTGATTATAACGCATCTCAGTGTGGGTCTCTTTAGTTTCTCCTACTTGGAATTCATTGAGCTTCTTAGATATATATATGTGTATATATATATATATATATATGGGTTTTTTAATACATACATATTCTATAGCTATTTTCTTTGTGGTTATCATGGGGATTACATTTAATATTATAACAATACAACACCCCGATTTGAATTCATGCCAACTTAACTTCAGTAACATACAAAAACTCTGGTTTGTTAACAGCTCCATCACTACCCCTTTCAGTTGTTGAAGTCACAAAATCACATCTTTATATATCATATGCCCAAAAACAAGAACTAATAATTCTTTTAAGTGCATTAGTCTCTTACATTATGTAAAAAAAAAAAAAAGTGGAGTTACAACTATTGTTGCAGTAACACTAACTTTAACAATTGCCCATGTATTTACCTTTACTGAGATCTTTATTTTTTCATATGGCTTCATGTTACTGTCTAATGTTCTTTTATTCCATCCTGCAAGGCCCCGCTTGAGCATTTCTTGCAGGGCCATTCTAATGGTAACAAACTCCTCAGCTATTATTTTTCTGGAAATTTCTCAATTTCTCTCTCACTTTTAAAGGACAGTTTGGCTGAATACAGGATTCTTGGTTGAAGGGTTTTTTTCCCTTTTAGCACTTTGAATATATCAACCCACTGCCTTCCAGCCTCCAAAGTTTCTGATGAGAAGTCCACTGATAACCTTATTAAGGATCGCTTCTATGTGATAAGTTGCTTCTCTCTTGTTGCTTAAAGGTTCTCTTTGTCTTTGGATATCGAAAGTTTGATTATAATGTGTCTCAGTGTGGATCTCTTTGGTTTTTTTAATTTCAATAGGTTTGGGGGGGAACAGGTGGTATGTGGTTACATGAGTAAGTTCTTTAGTGGTGATTTCTGAGATTTTGGTGCCCCCAACACCCAAGCAATGTACACTATACCCAATGTGTAGTCTTTCATCCCTTGCCCCCGCCACCTATCCCCCAAGTCCCCAAAGTCCATTGTATCATTCTTATACCTTTGTGTCCTCATAGCTTAGCTCCCACTTATGAGTGGAAACATAGAATGGTTTGGTTTTCCATTTCTGAGTTGCTCCACTTAGAATAATGGTCTTCAATTCCATCCCGGTTGCTGTGAATGCCATGATTTTGTTCCTTTTTATGACTGAGTAGTATTCCATGGGGTGTGTGTGTGTGTGTGTGTGTGTGTGTGTGTGTATCTATCTATCTATCTATCTATCTATCTATCTATCTATCTATATATCACATTTTCTTTATCCACTCGTTGATTGATGGCCATTTGGGCTGGTTGTGTATTTTTGCAATTGCAAATTGTGCTGCTATAAATATGCGTGTGCAAGTATCTTTTTCATATAATGACTTCTTTCCCTCTGGGCAGATATTCAGGAGTGAGATTGCTGGATCAAATGGTAGGTCTACTTTCAGTTCTTTAAGGAATCTCTATACTGTTTTCTACAGTGGTTGTGCTAGTTTACAATCCCACCAACAGTTTAAAAGAGCTCCTTTTCACCACATCCATGCCAACAGCTATTTTATTTTATTTTTATTATGTCCATTCTTGCAGGAGTAAGGTGGTATCACATTGTGGTTTTGATTTGCATTTCCCTGATAACTCGTGATGTTGAGCATTTCATCACGTTTGTTGGTCATTTGTATATCTTCTTTTGAGAATTGTTTATTTATGTCCTTAGCCCACTTCCTTATGGGATTGTTTGTTTTTTTCTTGATGATTTGAGTTCCTTGTATATTCTGGACATTAGTCCTTTGTCAGATGTATAGATTATGAATATTTTCTCCCACTCTGTGAGTTGCCTGTTTACTCTGCCGATTATTTCTTTTGCTGGGCAGAAGCTTTTTAGTTTAATGAAGTCCCATCTATTTATCTTTGTTTTTGTTGTGTTTGCATTTGGGTTCTTGATCATGAAGTATTTGCCTAAGCCAATGTCTAGAAGGGTTTTCCAATGTTATCTTCTGGAATTTTTACAGTTTCAGGTCTTAGATTTAAGTCTTTGATTCATCTTGAGTTGATTTTTGTATAAGGTGAGAGATGAGGATTCAGTTTCATTCTTCTACATGTGGCTTGCCGATTTTTTCACACCATTTTTTGAATAGGGTGTCCTTTTTCCTCAGTGTGGGTCTCTTTAGGTCATCTTACTTGGAATGCATTGAGCTTCTTAGTTGTTTTTTTCTTCTTTTTTTGAGACAGGGTTTCATTCTGTCACTCAGGCTGCAGTGCAGTGGCATGAGCTCAGCTCACTTTTTTTTTTTATTAAATTACTGAGCTTTATTTCACATGCATATTTTTGTCTCCCTACCATTTCCATATCTAACCACCGCTATTACTATGTCCTATTATAACATTCCATACATACCTAAAACCAAACAAAGGGCAGAGTTCCATCTTTAAAAACTAAACAGGCATTTTGGACAACACGTTCTTGGCAATGGAACCTAGACAACAGTTATCAAACACGGTAGGGAAATTTCTCACTCTGCATTATAAAAAAGACAGCCAGATATCAACTGTTACAGAAATGAGATGAAAATTTTTTAATAAATTGTTTAAACTATTTTCTTAAAGAGACTTCCTCTACTGCCAGAGATCTTGAATAGCCTCCTGGTCAGTCATCTGGAAGCAATTCTTCACATAACTGATGAACTTGGCTTCCACTGTGGGAATAGAACCACCTTTTTCTATACTTGCTTGCATTTTTGCTTTAATGTCTTCTACAGAACTAGGTCCTTCTGGTGTTTCAGGAGTTTTTTGCTGTTTTTTGAAGGATTCTTGTCCATTTGATCTTGATGTTGATGGTGGTTTTGAGTCTTTTCCATTCTGATTTGACTTTTGTGCATTTTTGGCTTGGAGTATCTCATATAGATTTCTTCACTGGTGTTTTTCTTCAGTTTCCTTATCATCAAAATCATCACCATCATCATCTTCATCAGCAGCAAGTTTTACTTTTTTCTGTGGAAGCTTGCTACCACCGCCAGGGGCAGACTGCTTTCCAGATATACTTAAGAGTTTCACAACCTCCTTGTCTTCATCTTCTGACTCTGCTTCTTCCTCCACAGCTACTAAATGCTGTCCACTAGTATGCACTGGCCCTGAACCACACTTCAACTGTAAGACCACTGGTGGTGTTATTTCAAAGCCCCCAAGGGAAACCGTTGGCTGTACAGACATTTTCAAAGTTGCCAGTATTACTTTAATTGGACTGCCTTCGTAATTCATTGCCTCTGCTTCAACAATGTCCAATTCATCCATTGCACCAGCCCCTAAATTGATTGTTGTTAAAGGTAACTGGTGCTCATTTTCATTATTATCTACCTTAAAGTGATAATCTTTGTTGGCCTTTAGTTCACAACTGAAAAGATAGTTCTGGGGCCTCAGGGGCCTCATCCCCATGTCCACGAATCTTCCATCAGGTGGTGGCACGCACTTAGGTAGGAGAGAAGGTGGATGGAGATAAACGACCACTGCGCAAGAGAACAGCCGCACAGGAGAGAATGACAGCAGGGTAATCTCAGCTCACTTTAACCTCTGCCTCTTGGGTTCAAGCAATTCTCATGCCTCAGCCTCCTGAGTAGCTGGGATTACAGGCATGTGCCACCACGCCTGCCTTTTTTTTTTTTTTTTTTTTCCCAGTAGAGATGGGATTGCACCAAGTTGACCAGGCTGGTCTCAAACTCCTGACCTCAAGTGATCCACCCACCTCAGCCTTCCAAAGTACTGGGATTACAGGCATGAGCCACTGTGCCCAGCTGAGCTTCTTAGATTTTTATATTCATGTCTTCCATCAATGAAAGTTCATCAAAACTTTCATCAATAGTTTTCAACTATTATTTCTTCAAATATTCTCTCTGTCCCATTTTCTCTCCCTTCCTCTTCTGGGAGTCTCACAATGCATATGTTGGTCCACTTGTGGTGTCCCATGGGTCCCTTAGGCTCTGTTCACTTTTCTTTAGTCTTTTTTCTTTCTGTTCTTCTATATTAATTACCTTATCTTCTGTGTTTGCCATACTTTTGTCTTTCCATGTTTTATGATGGATAGTTTTTCCTCCCAATGTTTTAGTTCACTGATTTTTCTCACTGGCTTAATCTATTTATTAAGAAGAGCATAGACCTATTCGTTGAGTTTTTTAATTTTAGTTAATTATATTTTTAGACATAAAATTTATATTTTGTCTTCTTTTCAAATCTCCTAAGTTACTTTTCATGCTTTTAAATTTCCTTTTGAAATTTTCAGCCCCCGCCTGGCCAGCCGCCCCGTCCGGGAGGTGGGGGACGCCTCTGCCCGGCCACCCCATCTGGGAAGTGAGGAGCCCCTCTGCCCGGCCGCCACCCCGTCTGGGAGGTGTACCCAACAGCTCATTGCGAAAGGGCCATGATGACAATGGTGGTTTTGTCGAATAGAAAAGGGGGAAATGTGGGGAAAAGAAAGACAGATCAGATTGTTACTGTGTCCGTGTAGAAAGAAGTAGACATAGGAGACTCCATTTTGTTCTGTACTAAGAAAAATTCTTCTGCCTTGGGATGCTGTTAATCTATAACCTTACCCCCAACCCCGTGCTCTCTGAAACATGTGCTGTGTCCACTAAGGGTTAAATGGATTAAGGTCGGTACAAGATGTGCTTTGTTAAACAGATGCTTGAAGGCAGCATGCTCGTTAAGAGTCATCACCACTCCCTAATCTCAAGTACCCAGGGACACAAACACTGCGGAAGGCGGCAGGGCCCTCTGCCTAGGAAAACCAGAGACCTTTGTTCACATGTTTATCTGCTGACCTTCCCTCCACTATTGTCCTATGACCCTGCCAAATCCCCCTCTGCCAGAAACACCCAAGAATGATCAATAAATACTAAAAAAAAAAAAAAAGAAATTTTCAAGGTTGGCTGTTATCTCCCTCAACACAGTAACATTGTTATTTTATAATGTTTCTGGTAGTTCTAATATCCGAAGTCCCTTTGTTTAGTTCTGTGGTCTGTTATTTCTGTTTATTCTCATTTATAGCTTTTTGCTTCCCTGTGTATTTGGTTATCTTTGACTGTATGCTAAAATTTTACTTAAAATTGTATTTGTAGAACTAATCTAAGGCCAGGGATAATAATATCTTCCTTTATTTGCTTTTTCCAAGTATCTGAGCAATCAGGACACCTTAATATAATTTCAAGGTTTGAGTTTTCCTGAGCCATTCAAACGTTAAAAAGCCTAGCCACAAATTCTTACAGTGGCTGAATTTCTTTCCATTTACTCTTACCCCTTGAGTTCCTAGTCCAAAGTCAGAGTTGGTCTCATCAACGTCTGTACTGTAGTTGGGCCCAGAATTCTGACTTCTATCTCCTTAGTTTTGAGAGGTTCCCAAAAGCTCCACTCAGCTTCTCAGCTGCCTCTTCTGAACTGAAAAATACACTCAGGGCCAAAGCAGCTTTTAGTAAGGAGATTTAAACTTCTGCTTCCCATCATTTCCAAATCTACATCTGGTATTTCCTGTGTTAGCTCTTTGATACTTTTAATGAGATGTTTTTCATATTTTCTGAATTTTTATTTGTCCTCATATAAAAGATTATTTCAGATTTCTTTGTTCATCAAGGAAAGTAGAGAATCCTCTGAAGATTTGTTACAGCCATTTATATGTCTTAAATATTTTATCTGAATTTTTAAATATAACATAAAGTAGGGTCTACTTCTAGGTATTCTCATCAAGGAAATACTGACCCAGGGTAAGAAATAAGAAGTGTTAGGAGAGAAGAAGGGAGAATCAGATGGCCAGAATCTGTGGTAGAGGCAGCACCCTCAAGAAATTCACAGACAGAGAAAAGAGACAAATTTGACATTGCTTTCAAATCATTATAGTTGCCTCTGGGAAGTAGGAAGCTGCATATATTTCCTTCATACTTCACAGTAGTAGCAAGATCAAAGAGATAGTCTGTGCCTTCTTTCTGGAGATTACGGTGAGGCTGAGGAAATGAGATACCGAGAAAGAGTGAAGTCCACATATAGACCATGAAGGGCAAGAGACCCAGAGGTGGGGCTTGTCTGGGCTAACTTGGTCAGCCTCTTCAATCAAATGTGACCCTAGTAGTTATTATATTATCTGGGTGATGATCAGGGGAGGATTCTTAGACCTTGTCCTGATCCAGACACTAAATTTTATCATGAAATAAAGCACACTAATGGTCACATGTGGGGAGAAGGGGCAGAAATCCCAGCACTACTTCAGTGATTAAAAGGAGTAGGGGGCACCTGGATTTGAACCAGGGACCTCTTGATCTGCAGTCAAATGCTCTACCCCTGAGCTATACCCCCAGGCCTTGTTCTACATCTTAATTTCACCTTTACAACTGTGCAGCTGATGGCTGTTTCTGGACTCAGCCATGTTCCTGAGGGGTGTGGGGAGCCTGCCCATGATAGCCTGGCCCTCACTGCCATCACTCACTCCCTGGTCTACCTGTGAACACCTGACCATATTTCATGTGCCAGGCATATCTTTACCTCTGCCACCCCTGTTCCATCTGCCCTGCAGTGGGCAGTCACTGGCTGTCCCAGCTTAACAGAAGCCTAGTTCCCCTCCTGCCTTCCTGTACTAGGGTGCTGAGGAGCAGAAAAGTCTCTGCATAGAAAGACTAGCAGGTCTGAAACGAGACCTGGCCACAGCCTCACACCCTGAGACACAAGATGACCTATTGTCCCACTTTCTACTGCATGAGTCAGATTGTGGGGTTGATCCCCAACAATATGCTAAATATTGAGAAGAAATAAGGTGAACAGCTTCAGATTCCCTTAAGAAGAAAATTGATCGGGGGGCTGGGGAAACACTGTGGTCAATAGCTGTGAGCCACGCAGGGTATGGAGGCTGGGTTTCAAGATTCGTTTCAGAGGGCGGGTGGCTCTGCATGGGCAGCAAGAATAGGGAGGCAGTAGGGGCGGGAGCTTACTCCCATCTGAACAGCTGGGTCCTGCATGGGGGGCAGAGCCAAAAGAGACCCCACCACCACTGGTAGACAAGCCAAAAAAGGCTTTAACTCACCTATCAACCCTTCCCAATGCCTCACCTCATCCATCTTCTCTCCCATAGACAGTCTCCAATAAAGTCCACGAAGCTCACAAGGACTTTGGGTAAGTAGTGAATTTGTCCAGAAATACTGTGGAGGGTCCGCAACACCCATGGGCTGCTTGTACCAAGTTTGCCAGTCACTCTGAAGTAATTTCATATTTACCATGTTTTTTTGTTTTCTCAAGGCCACTTCAACATGCCAGAATTGACCGTAGACTCCCTCTGTTGGCCCAAGATCATGATACTTTCAGCCAGCCAGCTCTGCTGAAGGAGCTAAAACTGGACCCTTAACTGAGTGTCCTGGGCCCCAAACCCTGCCTAGATGGAACCTCTCCCTCAACAGCCTTGCACAGGCACCTTTGCCCTCGCAGTGAGGCCACTGGCTGACTCCTCCCCACACCTGAACCTCCAGCCCTCTCTCTCTACTATGTCATCTCTTCCCACCCTCTATAACACTGAGTGGAGACTTATTGGAGTAACTCTGCCAGGAAATGGGCCTAAAGGCATGAAGTAGCCAAGGGTGTGCCTCAGGCTCTATGGGACAGGAGCAGGGAAGGAGCTAACATCAGCCCCCAGGCTGGGAAGACAAGGAAAGGTCACCTTTATTAAAGGCCTTGTACCTTGATACATTTTGACTCACTATTCCATTGAGTTTGGACATTTAGGTTATTTCCAATTCTTTACTATTTGGAGGAGCATTGCGATGAACAGTGAATTCGTCAAAGGGTCTTGCTGTTGATGCTCTGTCATGTCTCTGTTCAGCAGTGGCCAGATGTGTGCTGAGAGGTAAGGCAGGAACTGGAACAATTTACTTGAGTCCTGCCAGATAATATCTGCACATCATCACACTTGGGCCCCGGAGTTAGAGGACCTTTACCATTCAAAGAGGAGAGTCCAAGCCTGTTGGAACTGCATATGCAGGATTGCAAAAGCATGAGAGGCCAAGTAAACAGAGAGAGAGAATTGCCCCCTGGCACTGGCAAAATATTAACAAATATAGGCCATCAATAAGCTCAATGAAGGCTGTTTCCATGGATCAGGTGAAATGAAAGCTGGATTGGAATGGGAGCAAGGATGTGAGGTCGATGAGAACAGTTGATTAATTTGAGTGGTTTTTCAGGAAAACAATAGCAGAAAAATTGAACAGGAACTGGAGGGTCATGGAATCAAGAGAAACTTTTACAAGATGAATGATAGTAAAGCATGTTTATATGCTTACAATAATACCGTAGAGAGGGAACAAATGATGCAGGAGAGTAAAGACATCATCATGATGTGGTCCTTAAGGGAGCAAGGGGTGGAATTTAATTCACAAGTAATAGGTTGGCCTTGGGTAAGAATGGGAACCCCTCCTTACAACAGAGGGAAAGGCAGATTATGTGCAGACAGACGGAAACTGTTTGGTTGGAATTGATAGAAGAAAGATGGAAGTGATTCTCATCTTACTGCCTTTATTTTCTGATTATTCAAGATATTTGTCAACTTAAGCAACAGAAAGTGAGACTCTCTAAAAGAAAATGATGTGTGCCATAGTAAACTATCTGCATATTCAGGGAGGTAAAGGAAGACAAAGGTTATTAAACGAAAAGCGAGGATTACATAATTGTTTTAATTCTTGGCTACAAGGATAAATAACAAGGGCAGCACCAGTGCAAGGCTGGACAGGCAGCAACTGAACAGATGTCCCTACAGAAGCATTTTTGTGTGTGTAAGTTTGCAACGGCCTTTGTGCAAAGTTACGGATTTTGCAGTCTTTTGTGATGGTTCTTGTTATCAGGCATTCATGCATAAGAACTCTCCCTTTCGCTGGGTATGGTGGTTCACACCTGTAATCCCAGCACTTTGGAAGGACAAGGCAAGAAGATCACTTAAGCCCAGGAGCTCGAGACTGGGCTGTGCAATATAGAGAGACCTTGTCTCCACAAAAAATTTTAAAAATTAACTGGATGTGGTGGCATGTGCCTGTAGTTCCAGCTACTTGGGAAACTAAGACAGGAGGATTGCTTGAGCCTGGGAGGCACAGGTTGCAGTGAGCCAAGATTGTACCACTGCATTCCAGACTGGGCAGCAGAGTGAGACAAAGTCTCAAAAAATTTTTTTAAAAAATAACCCTCCCTTCCTTTTTACAGCCTCCTCCAGCTCTAATTGTCAGAGTTTTTTTTGTTTTTTGTTTTTTGTTTTGGTTGTTGTTGTTGTTGTTTGGAGATGGAGTCTCACTCTGTCACCTAGGCTGGAGTGCAATAGTGTGATCTCAGCTCACTGCAACCTCTGCCTCCTGGGTTCAAGAGATTTTCCTGCCTTGGCCTCCTGAGTAGCTGGGACTACAGGCACGTGCTACCACACATGGGTAATTTTTTTGTATTTTTAGTAAAGATGGGGTTTCACTGTCTTAGCCAGGATGGTCTTGATCTTCTGACCTCATGATCGCCTGCCTCAGCCTACCAAAGTGCTGGCATTACAGGCATAAGCCATCGCACCTGGCTTGTCAGAGTTTTTAATACAATTAACTCCATTTTGATTCTGACAACTTCCACCTTTCCCCCGTTTGATCAAGGTCTTTCTCTAAAAGCATTGCTGATCAAATCATTCTGTAGTTAGGATTATGTTCCTTGGTGCTGAGATGAACCTGTCCCAAACTGCTGCTCTGGTCCCATTTTGGAGGGAAAAGATTGGCCACAGTGGCGTGAGCCACTGTGCCTGGCCTAAAGATTTTTATTTAGTTAATTGATCTTAAAATTATTAGAAGCCCATATTTAAGTGTACTTGTTAGAGTCTCCTCCATGAATCTGATTCCAAATGCTTTTAGAGAAAAATCAAAACAATAACTGTGGATGACAAAAACTTAAAATAATCATGTTTAAAAATCTGATGTAAGTTCATTATCATCAGCAATTGACACAGAAATTTGGTTATTTTTGTGGCATACAACATAACCCAAATTATGTCTAATGACATTATATTTTTAAGAGTTTAATACAATTTTGGAACATTTAGGTCAATAACATATCAGAAATGTGGCTGGGTGTGGTGGCTCACACCTGTAATCCCAGCACTTTGGGAGACTGAGGTGGGTGAATCACCTGAGGTCAGGAGTTCGAGACCAGCCTGTCCAACACAGTGAAACCCTGTCTCTACAAAAAATACAAAAATCAGCCAAGTGTGGTGGCACACACCTGTAATCCCAGCTACTCAGGAGGCTGAGGCAGGAGAATCCCTTGAACCCAGGAGGCAGAGGTTGCAGTGAGCTGAGATCACACCATTGCACTCCAGCCTGGGCAACAGAGTTAGACTCCATCTCAAGAAAATAAAAATTAAAATAACGTATCACAAATGTGACTGAAAAAATCTAGCATCACTTATCATCTGACAAAGCATCCTGTATAATTTACCAAACAAGCCTAATCATTTACTATCTCTATAAAAATGAGAGATACATCTTTTGATGCTCTCCTGGGGCTCAACTGGAAAAATCACAAAGCAAATTCAAGATCAAAAAGACTTAATTTAGAATTTTTACATTGGGAAAGCCTGTCAAAGATGCCAAAACTTTTTAAACACCTGATTAAAACAGGATTACAGGTCACTGTGAAATAATAGTCATTCATTTAACCATAGTGATAGTCAAAAATTTCAAGAGCAATACAGAAAGTTACATGGATTTTTTGTAGACTTAAAGCTTTCAAAGCTCAGTTTTCCTAAGTAATCAAAAACCTAATAAAGACTGTTTCTTAGAACAGTTACCAAAAAGATAAGACAAACATCCTGAAATGTGATTGCTTATTCTTACAGGAAGCTCACTTATATAACATGGAAGTTGAACCTGATGAAAAAGCTCTTTAAACTTAATAAGATTGTGTGTCCAAGGTTATGAGTGTAAAACACATTATAGAGGAATGTAAACAAAAAACTAGTATCTTGAGCAGCAGAATGCATGGCTCTTGGTAAAAGCATGGGAAGTTCGGCCGGGTGCGGTGGCTCATGCCTATAATCCCAGCACTTTGGGAGGCCGAGGCAGGTGGATCACGAGGTCAGGAGATCGAGACCATCCTGGCTAACACAGTGAAACCCCGTCTCTACTAAAAAATACAGAAAATTAGATGGGCACGGTGGCGGGCACCTGTAGTCCCAGCTACTTGGGAGGCTGAGGCAGGAAAATGGCATGAAGCTGGGAGGCAGAGCTTGCTGTGAGCCGAGATCGCGCCACTGCACTCTAGCCTGGGTGACAGAGTGAGACTCCATCTCAAAAAAAAAAAAAAAAAAAGCATAGGAAGTTCCTGGTTATATGGAACAATTCAGAAACATCAAGAAATCAAGTTATATTAAACAAAAACATTTCTCTTCTAGACCTTCAAGATAAGTATTTCAGTGTCAGGCCATACCAGCAGAGTTAGAACTAGAGAACTGAGCTGATGAAAAAGTTAAAATTATCACCCCAGCCAGGCAAAAAAATGAATATATTACTTGCAAATCACCTGCAGGGAGACACAGCCACAGTTGAACTTCTGAGATATGAACCTGGGAAGTTGAATTTCTGAGATATGAACCTTGAGGTAGAGGAAAACTCTACCTCAAGAAATAAAATTACCATTCTAAATGATGAAGACAGCATTTTCAACTGAAACTAGGGAAATTAAATAAATCTCAGGACGAAATGTGACATAAATAGAAACCATAAAACAGGAAGAGGCTGCAGTTTAGAATACAGCTGTTAAACATTTCATAATTAAAATCAAAACTTCTTGTAATTTTACTTCAAGAAAACCTTGTTCTAACATAAGGGATCACATTTTTAGTTTTGTATTAGTAATTTTTAACATAAAACCTCAATGTTTAGAAATAATTTTAATAATTCCCTTCTAATTATAGCCTACTTGATCACACACAAAAAAGTTATTTCATAAATGCATCCTTCACAAACCTTTCACGACTTGCACAGACCTTCCATGACATGCTTAGACCTTCTGCTTTGTCCTATACTTCCTCTTTCCCAAATAAGTAGTCGTTTTACTTTGGGACAAAAATATACCACACAAGATTATTTCTCATATAAAATTATTCTCTTTTCTTTTTAACCTTCCTTACCAAAATTACAGTTCCATACCTATTAGTTTCTTCATCTCTCTCTCCTACTTACTGGTTACTTTCTATATTGCTTCTATTTCATTCCTAAACACATATTTTGAAACAGCCTTTAAATAATCTCTGAATTAGACAAAATTACTGTTTTTTTCTCAATAAAGAACACATTTTTAAAGCCTAATTTTTCTCATCAAATGATTTTTGTGTACTTTGTAGACAGAATCATATATATTAATTAGAATTTTTAACTCTTAGTAACCTTAAATTCTAGTGAAAACCTAGGAAGCAAAAAATTTTGAGCTGCCTGTCACATATTAGTATTTTATAGATGGAGAACCATGTTATAATTTTTAGAAGTATGTTTCCCCATAACACAATTTTTATTTTGTATTAGTAGATCTAAATTTATTTAGTCTTCCTATAAAATTTAAGATGCCGAGAATAAACTTATATTTATGTTTAGCAATGTATGTTTTAGTATTTTGTCTTACTTAAAAATAACCCAGACATTTAGTATCACTTAATTTAATAATGTTAAGATTTCAAATTGCATGAAAAGTTTATAAATGTGAATCCCATTTATATTGATTTATTTTAAACAATTATACCCAGATTACTTACGAAAACTAAAATAGTAGACAAAACTAGTCATCATTTTAAGTCATTTCCCTGTTAGCCCTTTTCTGTAGCCTGTGAATATCAGGTATTCACCTGAGTAACAAGTAACTTTACATATGTGGATATTTTGCCAATACCTCAGAAGATACAACTGTTTTTACTAAATCAACAATGTTAAATTAGTCTTATTTATCAAAGAGTTACAAAAAAAAAGATTAGTCTGTTTGGGGGCAGGGCTTCTAGTTTTATGACCTTAAACCATTTAGCAGAGGCAAATATAATCCCATTTGGCCAGGCCAGGCACAGTGGCTCATGCCTGTAATTCCAGCACTTTGGGAGGCTGAGGCAGGTGGATCACCTGAGGTCAGGAGCTCGAGACCAGCCTGGCCAACATGACAAAACCCTGTCTCTACTAAAAATACAAAAATTAGCTGGGTATGGTGGCAGACACTTGTAATCCCAGCTACTCAGGACGCTGAGGCAGGAGAACCGTTTGAACCTGGGAAGCAGAGGTTGCCATGAGCCAAGGATCATGCCACTGCACTCCAGCCTGGATGACAGAATAAGACACTGTCTCAAAAAATAATAATAAAATAAAATAATCTTATCTGGCCAGCAAACCCAGGCAAAAGTATATGCTGACCATTTTAAAGGCCTTTCTATTTTTATCAACAAATTAAAACTAGCTTATTTATCAAAGATTTATGTAAGTCACATAAACTAAAAGGTATTTGGGTTAATTATTATATATTTTCTGTGAGTGCTCATTTAATTGCTTTGCCCCTATGTGGTAAAGCAATTTTTTTTTTTTTTTTTGAGACAGAGTCTTGCTCTTTTGCCCAGGCCGGACTGCAGTGGCACTATCTTGGCTCACTGCAAGCTCTGCCTCCCGGGTTCACACCATTCTCCTGCCTCAGCCTCCTGAGCAGCTGGGACTACAGGCGCCCGCCACCACGCCTGGATAACTTTTTTTTGTATTTTTAGTAGAGACGGGTTTCACCGTGTTAGCCAGGATGGTCTTGATCTCCTGACCTCGTGATCCGCCCACCTCGGCCTCCCAAAGTGCTGGGATTACAGGCGTGAGCCACCGTGCCTGGCCGGTAAAGCAATTTTTATGCTGGGTGGAGATACCTTCCTTATATTATTACTCTGAGCTCAAGGTTTTGACTTGTTTGATCTGGTAGCCTAACTTTTATAAATATTTATTTAGTTCTTTTCTTTTAGAATGTCAATCCTTTAATTTTTCCATCACCTTGAGTAGTTGTTAGTTGGGCAAACCTGAATTTTCATTTCCAAAAGGTGTCTAGGTTGTTAGTTGTCATGGAGCTATTGTAATTTGTAAAGCTATTGATTTGAAAGCCCTTTAAGACTCCTTTTTAAATAATCTTGGCTAGGGGCAGGACATGGTGGCTCATGCCTATAATCCCAGCTGTGGGAGGCTGAGGCAGGAGGAGGGCTTGAGGTCAGGAGTCCAAGACCATCCTGGGTAACATAGTGAGGCCCCTGTCTCTACAAAAAAATAACAAAATTAGCTGGGTGTGATTGTACTCAAATGTGGTCCTAGCTACTCAAGAGGCTGAGGCAAGAAGATCACTTGATCCCAGGAGTTGGAGGCTGCAGTGAGCTATGATCATGCCATTGTACTCTAGCCTAGGTGACAGAGTGAGACCCTATCTTTATTTAAGTATATATATTTAATATATATAATATATAATATTGTATATATATTTAATATATATATTATATATATTTAATATTGTATATATATTTAATATATATTATGTTAAATATATTTATCAAATATACATAATATATATATTTAAATAGAGAGAGAGAGAGGCTGGAATGCCATAACCAGTGAATTCATCCTAATGCCAGGAGAAAAGTCATCAGAGTCAAAATAAGCAGAAAAAAGTAGACAGAGAACTTGGAAGAATCTACATGTTAACCCTATAGTTGGCTGCAGTTTTCTTAGAGCCTGTGAATAATGACCATTTGTGCTCTACATTTTTCTTGGTGTAATTTGCCCATCAGTTTTAAAATGTACATGAGAATCAACTATGATACAGCTGACTGGAATCCCAAAGGAAGGTTTTAGTGGTATGCCTTTAGAATTTGATAATCGCGTTCCACTTCTTGTTTATCTCTCAAGGGCAAAAAAAAAATCCTAGAAATCCTGTCAAAGAATGTGAGTAATTTGAACTGGCATGACAGATAGCAGTGACCACCTAGTAGCTTTTAATTGGTCATCTTATGCCCACCATTTAGAATGTTTTTTTTTTTTTCCTCTCAGAACATGTTCAGAAACAAGGGAGAAAAGAGCCAAATCACTTACAGATACATGTGACCTGACCAAAATGAAACCAAAAGTAAGAGTGTTCATAAAAATTTTAAGCCAAGTATGCAGACAGATACGGTTTGGATCTGTGTCCCCACTCAAATCTCATGTCAAATTGTAATCCCCAGTGTTGGAGAGGGGCCTAGTGGGAGGCGACTGGATCATGGGGGCGGTTTCTCATGAATGGTTCAGCACCATCCCCTCGGTGCTGTCCTCATGATAGTGAGTGAGTGAGTTCTCTTGAGAACTTTGCATTGACCACATTGCTGGAGATGAGGATCATACAGACGGAGTAGTAGCTTGTGCTGCTGGACTAATAGGGGACTTATATACAGCATTTGGGAAGGATGTACTGAAACTAGTAGAAGCTAGGCCACTGATCCATGAATTGTTAACTGAACGGCGGAGATCGAAGACGAACAAAGCAAAAACCCTTGCTACACGGGCAACAAAAGAATTCAAGAAACTGAAGGACCAAGCTTGATCTGTTACCACTGGGATGATAACCTGAGGACCCCCACTGGAAATCTCCAATCTTTTGAAAAACCTGGAAGTGAGGAGTGTGCATGGATGCTGAATGTTTGGGAATGAGAGGATGAGTGAGTGAGGCTTGAAAACACACCACATTGAAAATCCTGCCACAGCAGCAGCCGCAGCCGCCGCCGCCAACAGCAGCACTGTCAGTGAGCTAAGTAAGCACTGACTTCGTAGAAAACCATAACATTGGCTATCTTGGAAAAGAGAAAAACAATGGAGTTACTTATAAAAAAAGAAGAAAGAAAGAAAAAGAAAGAAAGAAAGAGAGAAAGAGCGAAAGAAAAGAGAAAAGAAAAGAAAAAAGAAAAGCTATCTCTTCCCAGGAGAGGCTAGAAGTAGTTTTTCTGTCTTTTGGCCGGTGCCGAGTGGAATGCCTGGTTTCGGGGAGGAGGAGGGACTGGGTTCAGCTGTGGTGCTTTGTTGTAAAAGGCAGCCTGGCCTTTGCTACTGAGGAGAAAGATGGAGCCTGGGTCTCAAGCCCACCTTCTCTGTACCTTTGCCACACGGTACTGTATGCTTGCCGGCTAGAAGGAGGGTGAGGGATTTTTTACAGTCTGAGAATGAGTGTGTGTGAGTGAGGCGGTATCCACATTCTCAAGTTCAAGTCATTACAGTTTCTTTTTCCCAGAAAACAAGGGGTTAGATGTTGCATTTCATAAAACGAACCCAAGTTCTGTCTACTGGTGCAGCACAAGAGATGTAAAAAAAAACAAAAAAAAAAAAACACAGAGGAAAGACGCTCTTTAGGTTTTGTTTTTTTCGTTTTGTTTTGTTTTTTTTTTTTTTTTACTCTAGGGAAACACTGACGAATGGTCAGAGCTCCTATCCTGATCTTTTCAGTAAGGCGCCTTTCCTAATACTATGGTTCAACTGTGAATGTAGAAGTGAGGGGGAGGGGGGAGAAAAAGAAAACTCTGGCGTTAGAGAATATAGAAAAATGTAAGTACAATTGTTACAAATAGCGCAGACTTCAAAAACAAAAAAGTCACAAACCAAACCAAAATTTAAATGATCAGAATTGGCAGCACAAAGAAAACGCCCTCTCCTGACTTGTATTTTGGCAGTCTGAACGCCCCCAGAAAATTACGCCAAAGAGTTTAGAAAAATATACAATAAAAGTAAACACACACATACACACAAAACAGCAAACTTCAGATAACTACTTTGGATTGCAAACAGGATAAATTAAATGTTCAAACAATCTGATAAAATAACCATTTGGAAACTGGAAAAAAAAAATGTGTAGCACCTCCCCCGCCCCGCTTGCTCCTGCTCCAGCCACAGAAGTGCCTCCTTCCCCTTCACCTTCGGCCATTGTTGAAAGTTCCCTGAGGCCTCCCCAGAAGCCAAGCAGTGCTAGCATCATGCTTCCTGTACAGCTTGAAGAACTGTGAGCCAATCAAACCTCTTTTCTTTATAAATTATCCAGTCGCAGGTATTTCTTTATAGCAATGCAAGAACAGACTAATGCACAGACCAAACAAAATATTAAACCAGGCATGGAGAACCAGACAGAAGATAAATTCTGTAGAAACCAGAGTACTGAAACCAGAAGGACATTGTTCTTATACCAGAAATGGTTTGCCAGAAAAACAAAGTCTTCTGTCATCCCAGGACAGATGCAAAGTTCTTTATTGAGGTGGCCTTATAACCAAATCAGAACATGAATAAAATAAAAAAGAACTCACCAAAGACAGGGAGTCCAAAAACTCGAGATTCACCAGGGCAGAAAAGGTAACTGACAGAAGCAGAGTGCAAAGAGCTCAGGTGGTACCACACTTGATTCCGGAGCCACCAACCCATTCAAGCTGAGCTCACTTCAGTCCCACTCGAGACACCATTTTGTCAAACTAAGAAATACAGAGGGACACTCTAAAAATTCTGCTTATTGGAAACAGAGCATTGCAATGGGGATATGTGTGCCATAGTAACTATGTGTGTATTCACGGAGGTAAAGACAAAGGTTTTTAATGAAAAAAAGTAAGGCGAATTATATAATTGCTTTCAGACAATTATCCTTGGCACTAAGGATCAACAATAAGAGGGTGCCAGTCCAAGATTAGCAGTTTCTGGACAGACGTTCTCACAAAAGTATATTTTGTGTGTGTAAGGTTGCAATTACCTTTGTGGAACCTGTGGGTTTTGCAGTCTTCTGTGATAGTCCTTCTTATCAGGCACTGGTGCGGAGAACCCTCCCTCGTGCCCTTCCCCAACTCTATTTGTAAGGGTTTTTTAACGCAAGTGATTCCATTTTGATTCTGACAACTGTTGCATATTCAACTACAATAGAAGATGAGAAGGGCATGTTGAGGATTTGAGAAGAGAATAGAAGAGGCAAAATAGCCGTCTCAGGAGGTGATAAGGCAAGAGTATTACATAAACTAACAGGCTTGCCTGGAAATGTTAAGTGCCAAGTAGCGGTCTCAGGTGAGTCTAGTCAACACAGTTGTATGGCTTTTCCCCAGCAATGACCTGCTGTCTCAGATTCCTGGGATCTATAGACATGGCTGCAGCTGGTGCACTGTTCCAAGGAGGGAGGAGGGAGAATGGGCACTTCCATGCATCCAGGAGGGTACTTGCCACACTGCTATGAGCTGCTGTTGAGACTGGGATGCAAGCGCACTGCACTCTCCACAGCTTCTTGCTCACACTGCTTGCCTGGGTGGTGCCCCATTCTCTCTCTGGTCCTAGGCCCAAGATGCCATTTTGAGGGTGTAACACTGGGTTGGGCCCCGCCTTCAGCCTGAATTTAAACTGATGTGGCCGTGGCCACTACCCAGCTGAGGGACAAGGAAGCCAGACTCTCCTATGCATACCTAGAACAATAGCCAGTGCCCTGCCACAGGTTTCTGTGAGACTGAGAGGCAAGCAAACCACACTCCCCACAGCTTTTTTCCATGCTTTCCTGAGAGGGGCTCCACCCTCTCCAGTCACAAGCTCACAGCTGGCACCATTTTGAGAGTTTAGAGACATTATTTGGCAACATGGCAGCAGTGGCCATAACAGGCATTTTAGTCTCAGGCTAGACATTGGAGCACTTGCTTTGGAATGGGGGAAAAGCCCTCCACAGCCAGAATTGAGCAGCAAACATGGAGGTGCCCAGCAGTAGGTGCAGGAATTAGGCTCTCTCCCGTTGCAGGGCTGCAGCAGGAGGAGAGCTGCTGAAGCCATGGTTTCTCCTGGGTGGCAAGACTGGCAGCCAGGGGCAGTTTTGTGACGTGGAACCAGTCTGCATGTGTCATTGCTGGGTGCCCCAGCCTACTCTCTTGGTCAGTTGGGGGAAAGTGCCCCACCACCATTTGAGAAGCTAGAGGGCAGTGCACTCCACTCCCGTGGAAATCTAACTCTTGGCATGGTCCCCTCTAAGAAGGTGGGGAGCACAGAATGTCAAAGCCACCCTTAGGTCAAAGGAAATGCAAGCACCATGCTAACTTCTGTAGGAGGCACACCAAAGCCCGGAACAGACATCAAGAGGGGGTCATCTCTTATCCCTGGTGCCCCTCCTCGGTGCACTGTTGCCTACTCAGCAGCGGCTCCTCCTGTTGGGGTAGAAAGAGACAGCTTCTCCCGTTGCTCCACCCCACTGAAGATGAATGCATGCCTGAAGAGGGCGCTCTTTTCATTTTTCCATTGCCTGTACTCCCACTCCTCCCTGTCGGCTCTTACTCTTAAGCGCACCTACTAGACTGCAGCCTGACTTACACCACCAAGCAAAATTACATCACTACTACAAGCAACATCTGAGAAAGCTACCTATCTGCATCCAAGAAACAATACAGAGCCTTGGTATCCTGGAAGCACCCAGAAACATAGCCAACCAATCAATCACACACAATATACACCAGAGTCATACCCCTAAGGGATAAAAGAATAAAATATCAAGAACCTCCACCTAAATGATAGCAAATTTAAAAAAAAAAAAAAAGCATCAGCTCTCTCAGCTGAAAAGGAGCCAGCACAAGAACTCTGGCAATACAAAAAGCCAGGGTGTTTCATCACCTCCAAAGTATCCCACCAGCTTCTAAGCAATGGATCCTAACCAGAATGAAATGTCTGAAATGACAAATATAGAATTCAAAATATGGATGGCAAGGAAACTCAATGAGATCCAAGAGAAAGTTGAAATCCAACACAAAGAAGCCAGAAAAACCATCCAAGATTTGAAAGAAGACATAGCTATATTAAGAAAGAACCAAACAAAACTTCTGGAATTGAAAGACTCCCTACAGGAATTTCAAATTACAGTTGGAAGCCTTAACAACAGACTTGGCCAAGCAGAATAAAGAATTTCAGAGCGCAAAGACCACTCTTTTGACTCAACCCACACATATTTTTTAAGTATTCTTTTTAAATGAACAAAGCCTTCAAGAAATATGGGATTGTGTAAAGCAACCAAATCTATGACTTACTGGCATTCTTGAGAGAAAAGAAGAAAAAGTAAGCAATGTGGAAAACATATTTGAGGGTATAATTCAGGAAAACTTCCCCAATCTTGCTAGAGAGATTGACAGGCAGATATAAGAAATCTAGAGAACTCTTGCGAGATACTACACAAGACAATCATCCCCCAAGCACATAGTCACCAGACTATCCAAGGTCAAAGGGAAAGAAAAAAAAAATCTTAATGGCAACTAGAGAAAAGGGTTATATTACTTCTAAAGGAAAACCCATCAGACTAACAGTGGACTTCTCAGCATAAACCTTACAAGCCAGAAGAGACTGGGGGCCCATTTTTAGCATTCTTAAAGAAAAAGAATGCCAGCTAAGAATTTTATATCCCACCAAAGTAAGCTGTGTAAACGAAAGAGAAATAAAGTCTTTCTCAGATAAGCAATTGCTAAGGGAATTTGTCACCACCAGACTGACCCAACAAGAGATGCTTAACAGAGTTCTAAACATGGAAACAAAAGAATGAAATTTGCCTCCACAAAGGCACATGCAAGCACATAGCCCACAGACTGTATAAAGCAACTACACAATTGAAACTACAAAGCAACTAAATGGCAATGCTATGACAGGAACAAAACCTCACATATCAACATTAATCTTGAAAGTAAACTGCCTAAACACTCTACTTAAAAGGCATAGAGTAGCAAATCAGATTTTTAAAAAAACAAGACCCTTCCTCTGCTGTCTTTAAGATACCCATCTCACATGTAATGACACCCACAGCCTTAAAGCAAAGGGACTGAGAAAGATCTATGATGTAAATGGAAAACAAAAAAAGAACAGAAGTCACTATTCTTCTATCAGATAAAATTGATTTTAAACTAACAAGAGTAAAGAAGGACATTATATAATGATAAAGGATTCAATTCAACAAGAAGGCTTAACCATCCTGGCCCAGGCACGGTGCCTCACGCCTATAATCCCAGCACTTTGGGAGGCGAGGTAGGTGGATTGCTTGAGGCCAGGAGTCGAGACCAGCCTGGCCAACATGGTGAAACCCCATCTCTACTAAAAAATACAAAAATTAGCCAGGTATGGTGATGCATGTCTGTAATCCCACCTACTCAGAAGGCTGAGGCAGGAGAATTACTTGAACCCAGGAGGTGGAGGTTGCAGTGAGCCAAGATCATGCCACCACACTCCAGCCTGGGCAACAGAGTGAGACTCCATCTCAGAAAAAAAAAAAGTCTTAATTATCCTAAGTATATATTCCCCCAACATTGGAGCACCCAGATTTATAAAACAATTACTTCTAGACCTAAGAAAAGATTTTGACAACCATGTAATAATTGTGGTGACTTCAACACCCCACTGACAGAATTAGGTCAGGGAGGTAGAAAACTAACAGAGAAATTCCAGACTTCAATTTGATACTTGACCAATTAGATCTAATAGATGTCTGCAGAACACTCCACCCAAATTACCACAGAATGTACATTCTTCTCTTCTGCACATGGGACATACTCTAAGATTGACCAGGTGCTTGGTCATAGAGCAAGTCTCACAAAATTCTAAAACCTCAAAATTATACCAAGCATCTTCTCAGACCACAGTGGAATAAAAATAGAAATAAATATCCAGAGGAACTCTCAAAACCACACGAATACACAAAAACTAAACAACTTGCTCCTGAATGACTTTTTTGTAAACAACATAATTAAGGCAGAAATTTAAAAATTATCTGAAACAAAGAAAGTAGAGACACACCATACCAAAACTTCTGGGATGCAGCAAAAGCAGTATTAAATGCCTATATAAAGAAGATAGAAAGATCTTACATTAAAAACTTAAACTTGCGCCTAAAGGAACTAGAAAAACAAGAACAAACTACACCCAAAGCTAGCAGAAGAAAAGATAACCAAAATCAGAGCAAAACTAAATGAAATTGAGACCCCAAAAAACCATAAAAAGAAACAAGAAAACCAAAAATTGGTAATTTGAAAGGATAAACAAGATTGATAGACTGCTAGCTAAAGTAACAAAAGAAAGGCCGGACGCAGTGGCTCACGCTTGTAATCCCAGCACTTTGGGAGGCCAAGGCGGGCAGATCACGAGGTCAGGAGATTGAGACCACGGTGAAACCCTGTCTCTAATAAAAATACAAAAAAATTAGCCGGGCGTGGTGGCGGGCGCTTGTAGTCCCAGCTACTCGGAGAGGCTGAGGCAGGAGAATGGCGTGAACGCGGGAGGTGGAGCTTGCAGTGAGCCGAGACTGCGCCACTGCACTCCAGCCTGGGTGTCAAAGCAAGACTCCGTTTCAAAAAAGAAAAAAAAAGAAAAAAGAGAAGATCCAAATAAGTACAACCAGAAATGACAAAGGAGACATCACAACTGATCTTACAGAAATACAAAAGGTTCTTAGAGACTACTATGAGCATCTTTTTGCACACAAACTAGAAAATCTAGAGGAAATGGATAACTTCCTGGAAACACACAACATCCCAAGAGTGAACCAGGAAGAAACAGAATTCCTGAACAGGCCAATATCAAGTAATGAAATTAAATAAGTAATTAAAAACCTACCCAAAAAATCCCCTGGACCAGATGGATTCACAGCCAAATTCCACTAGATGTACAAAGAAGAGCTAGTACCAATCCCAATGAAACAATTCCCAAAAATTCAGGAGGAGGAACACCTCCCTAACTCATTCTATGAAAACAGTATCACCCTGATACCAAAATCTGGCAAAGATACAACAAAAAAATAAAACTATAGACCAATATTATTCCTGATGAACACAGACACAAAAATCCTCAACAAAATAATATCGTACTGAATTCAGCAACACATCAAAAAGCTAATTCACCACAATCAAGAGGGCTTTATTCATGGGGTGCAAGAATGGTTCAACATATGCAATCGATAAATGTGACTCAACACATAAACAGAATTAAAAACAAAAGCCATATGATCATCTCAATAGATGCAGAAAAAGGCATTTAGTATAATCCAACATCCCTTCATGACAAAAACCTTCAATAAACTAGGTATCAAAGGAACATACCTCAAAATAATAAGAGTCATCTCTGACAAACCCACGTCAATGTTATACTGAATGGGCAAAAGTTGGAAGCATTCCCCGTAAGAACTGGAGCAAGACAAGGATGTTCATTATCACCACTCCTATTTAACATAATACTGGAAGTCCTAGCCAGAGCAATCACTCAAGAAAAGGCAACCAAATAGGAAAAGAGGAAGTCACATTATTTCTCTTCACTGACAATATGATTCTATACCTGGAAAACCCTAAAGATTCTACCAAAAGACTCCTAGACCTGATAAACTACTTCAGTAAAGTTTCAGGACACAAAATCAACATGCAAAAATCAGTAGCATTTCTATACACCAACAACATTCCAGCTAAGAGCCAAATCAGGAATACAATCCCATTTATAATAGCCACACATGCAAAAATACATCTAGCCAAGGAGTTGAAAGATCTCTACAAAGAGAACTACAAAATACTGTTAAAAGAAATCAGATGACACAAACAAATGGAAAAAATATTCCATCTTCATGGATTGGAAGAATCGATATCATTAAAATGGCCATACTGCTCAAAGTAATCTACAGATTTAATGTTATTCCTATCAAATTACCAACATCATTTTTCACAGAATTAGAAAAAACTATTCTAAAATTTATATGGGGCCAGGTGTTGTGGCTCATGCTTATAATCCCAGCACTTTGGGAGGCTGAGGTGGGTGGATTGCTTGAGCCCAGGAGTGTCAGGCCAGCCAGGGCAACATGGTGAAACCGCATCTCTACAAAAACTACAAAAATTAGCTGGACATGGTTGTGTGCACCTGTAGTCCCAGCTACTCAGGAGGCTGAGGTGCAGGGATCACTTGAGCCCAAGAGGTGGAGGTTGCAGTGAGCCAAAATTTTGCCACTGCCCTCCAGCCTAGGCGACAGAGCAACACCCTGTCTTAAAAATAAATAATAAATAAATAAATGTAACTTAATTCATATGGAACCATAGAAGTGCCCAAGTAGCCAAAGCAATCCTAAGTAAAAAGAGCAAAGGTGGAGGCATCACATTACCCAACTTGAAACTATGGTATAGGCTACAGTAACTAAAATGGCACAGTACTGGTACAAAAATAGACACATAGCCCAATGGAACAGAATAGAGACCACTGAAATAAAGCCACCTGTATAACCAATTGATCTTCAGCAAAATAGTTTTTTTTTTAATGGGGAAAGGATAGCCTATTCAGTAAGTGGTGCTGGGAAAACTGGCTAACCACATGCAGAAGAATGAAACTGGACCCCTACCTCTCGCCATAAACACAAATTAACTCAAGATGGATTAAATACTTAAATGTCTTATTCTAGAAGAAAACCTAGGGAATACTCTTCTAGACATTGACCTAGGCAGAGAGTTTATGACTAAGTCCTCAAAAGCAAATGCAACAAAAACAAAAAATTGACTAGTGGGACCTAATTAAACTAAAGAGTTTCTGCACAGCAAAAAACAAAAACAAAAACAAAAAAAAACTATTAACAGAGTAGACACGCTACCAAACGGGGAAAAATATTTGCAAACTATGCATCCAACAAGGGTCTAATATCCAGAATCTATGAGAAACAGAAATCAATAAGAAAAAGACAAATAACTGCATTAAAAAGTTGGCAAAGGACATGATCAGACACTTCTCAAAAGAAGACATACAAGTAGCCAACAAACATGTTTTTTAAATGCTCAACATTATTAATCATCAGAGAGATGCAAATAAAAACTACAATGAGATACCATCTCACACCAATCTGAATAGCTATTATTAAAAAATTTTTAAATAACAGATGTTGACAAGGTTGCAGAGAAAAAGGAATGCTTATACACTATTGGTGGGAAGGTAAATTAGTTCGGCCCCTGTAGAAAGCAATTTGGAGATTTCTCAAAGAACTACAAATAGAATTACCATTCAACCCAGCAATCCCACTACTGGGTATATACCCAAAGGAAAATAAATCGTTCTGCCAAAAAGACACCTTCACTTGTATGTTTATCACAGCACTATTCACAATAGCAAAGACATGGAAGGCCGGGTGCAGTGGTTTATGCCTGTAATCCCAGCACTTTGGGAGGCCAAGGCAGGCAGATCACCTGAGGTCAAGAGTCAAAGGCCAGCCTGGCCAACACGATGAAACCCTGTCTCTACTAAAAATACAATACTTAGCCGGGATGATGGCAGGTGCCTGTAATCCCAGCTACTTGGGAGGCTGAGGCGGGAGAATTGCTTGAACCTGGGAGGGAGAGGTTGCAGTAAGCCAAGATCGTGCCACTGCACTCCAGCCTAGGGGACAGAGCAAGACTCTGTCTCAAAAAAAAAAAAAAGACATGGAATCAACCCAGGTGCCCATCACCAGTGATAGGATAAAGAGAATATGGGGCCAGGCATGGTGGCTCATGCTTATAATCCCACACTTTGGGTGGCCAAGGCAGGAGGATCTCTTGAGTCCAGGAGCTTGAGACCAGCCTGGTCAACACAGTGATACCCCCATCTCTACAAAAAATTTTTTAAAATAGCCAGGCATGGTGGTGCATGCCTGTAGTCCCAGCTACTCAGAAGCCTGAAGTGGGAGGATTGCTTGAGCCCAGGAGGTTGAGGCTGCAGAGACCCATGATTGCCATGATTGTACCACTGCACTCCAGCCTGGGTGACAAAGCAAGGCCTTGTCAAAAAAAAATGTGGTACATATATAACATGGAATACTACAGAGTCACAAAAAAAAGAATGAAATCACATCATTTGCAGCAACATGGATGCAGCTGGAGGCCATTATCCTAAGTGAGTTAACACAGAAACAAAAAACCAAATACCACATGTTCTCACTTATAAGTGGGAGCTAAACATTAGATACACATGGACAGAGAGATGGGAACAATAAGCATTGGGGAATCCAAAAGGGGAGAGGGAGGGAGGGGGAGAAGGGTTAATAAACTACCTGTTTGGCAATGGGATCATTAGAAGCCCAAACATCAGCATTACTCAATATACCCATGTAACAAATCTGTACACGTACCCCTTGAGTTTAAAATTTAAAAATTTTTAAAAAGGTCATCACTAGTTCGTGTATTCAACAAACATTTATTGAGCTCCTGCCTGTTCCAATCTGTGTCATGTTCTGTGAACCCCTAGCTGATGAAGACTTTGTTTTGGCAGTCAAGGAGCTCCTGGGCCAGAGAACTGTTCCCACTGCAGATATATACGGAGTACCCAAGGGACAACATGATCATCATCCTAGTCTCAGGCCTCCAGGAGAGGTCTCTGCACGCCAGGCCAACAGCTCTTTTGAGCTTGAGCTTATGTGCAGACCAGCAAAGAAAAATTTTCTTGTTGATATCTTTGTCCACAGCATGGGGGAAGGGAAAGAGAAGTGTATTTGTTTGTTCTCACACTGCTATAAAGACATACCTGAGACTGGGTAATTTATAAAGAAAATAGGTGTAATTGGCTCACAGTTCTGTGGGATGTACAGGCTTCTTCTGGGAAGGCCTCAGGAAACTTACAATCATGGCAGAAGGGGTGTGAGAAGCAAGCACATATTCACATGGCCGGCAGGAAAGAAAGAGAGTAAAGGGGGAAGTGCTACACACTCTCAAACAACCAGATCTCATGAGAACTCACTCGCTATCACAAGAACAGCAAGGGAAAAATCTGCCCCATAATCACCCCCCACTAGATCCCTACCCCAACACTGGGGATTACAATTCAACAAGAGATTTGGGTGACAACACAGAACCAAACCATATCAAGAGATTGCAAGGGCTTTGGGACTAGACCTTCAGTGAGGCTAATTGTTGAGAAGGAACAATACTCAGTCCAGCTCTGCTCAGCACATCATTATTGCAGTGGTCTAGCATCTCTTCCTGTCTTCTCCTCCAACTCAGACATTGCTGGGCCAAACTAGGTATTTTTTTTCAGATTTCAGCCTGACCATATCACTCCCTCTGGTGGACAGTTGTTGATTCTTTTTACCCAGCATCCATTTCTCCCTCTTCTTAAGCTTCTTTCATTGTTTCTCCTTCATCTCCTTTTTTGTCTCAAATACTGTCTCCCAAAAGATGCATTCTAGAAGTGAAGAAAACTAGGGGGCACCTGGATTTGAACCAGGGACCTCTTGATCTGCAGTCAAATGCTCTACCACTGAGCTATGCCCCCTGCTGCCATTATGTTTCCTATTAATATTATTTCAGCTTTGGAATCGTGTTGTATTAACATGATGGTAAGTGGCAGAGATTAAATTTCAGCTGATAGAAAATAAAATATAATGTAAATATCAGACAAGAAGCTGACTTCCAGGAACTCAAATGTTCTCAGGACTCTCTCCCTGTAGCTTTATTCTTTGGTTCCCTCTTAAGTTAGTTTTAATGTCTCAAACCCAACTCTCCACGCAGCTGAGACCCTGCCTCCAACATTTGTAGGTTCATAGCTCCACACTTTGATTGCCAGAGAGAAAAAGACTTGAGTCTAAAAAATTCTAGAGAAGGACTGTGGTTGGTTTGGCTTGGGTTCTGTGCCTATCCATGAGCAGCCACTGCCACCAAGGATTAAGATATGTAAGGGGTATAACCATTTCAGGAGTAAGGTCTTCTAAGAATATATCTGCCTCCACTCAGAATATATGTCTATAGTATGAGGAGAAAAGTGGTTCTCTAAAAGAAGTCAGGAGTAGCCAGGACATGGCCATGGGGGACCATCACTGCAGCCCTAGGGGCCTCTCAGTATTCTCAGCAGAGTGGAACATATTAAGAAAGACTAGCAACCTACTGCCTCTGCTAAACAGAGCCATGGGAAGCCCTGCACAGCCAGATTCCTTGATGAGTTTCATGCATTAATTCAATGAGCACTAGTAGGTGCCTCCTGTGTCCCAGACTCTAACAACCACACAATTCCCGGCCTCAGGAGCTAAAAGTTTAGTGGAAATGCCTGTCATGGCAATTCATGATAATAGCTCTTGGAATACAGAGGAGAGGGTGTAAATTACACACCTGACCAAAACTAGGGTAATGGCATGTTCCCTATTCAAAATGGGCTTTGCGTTCTGAAGGGCTTACTTAAACAAGGCAGGTGGGAAGGAATTCCATGTGAAAATGGCAGCAAGAGCAATGGATTCAGGTGCAGCCTTGACAAGAAAGTTCAAGGATGGTCATTGCACAGTGTTGGGTGAGACAATGGGGGAGGATCTTAGAGAGGCATCGAGGCCCAAGGCCTACAGTACAGCAGGACCTCCTTGCAGAATTAATAGTCAACATGGGCCCTGAGTGTGACCCCACTGGAGAAAAGGACCCATAAGAACTGCTGATGTGTTGGGGCCACAGCTTAGGGCACTGGACTGTAGGTCAAGAAGTTGGGGTTCAAATCCAGGTGGCTTCTCCCTATTCTGGCTTTCGCACATGAATGCCTTCCCATATTTTTCATATTATAGCCCACTTAAGAGACGAACTCTGGTATTCAAGGGTGGTCTTCACTGTGCATGTTCGCCAAGAGGCAAGGTCCCTGCTTTGGATTGAATGGGTCACCTAAAAAGATACATTGAAACCCTAACCTCTGGTACCTGTGAACGGGACCTTATCTGGAAACAGGGTCTTTGCAGATATAATGAGCTCAAGATGAGGTCATTAGGGTGGGCCCTTATCCAATATCACTGATGTCCTTGTAAGAAGAGGAAAGGAGACAGACACAAACACAGAAAGAATATCATGGGAAGATGGAGGCAGAGACTGGAGCGAATGTCTGTAAGCCAAAAGCACCAAGGAGCAAGGCCACACCAGAAGCCGGGAGGAGGCAAGGAAGAGCTCTACCCAGCGTCTCCGAGGAAGCAGGCCTGACTGGCACCTCCACTTCTGACTTCTGGTCTCCAGAACTGTCCAAGAATAAACTGCTGTTGTTTCAAGCCACTCCATTTGTAATACCCTGTATGGCAGCCCTAGGGAATTAATACAGTCCCCACGCAGGGGGGCTACTTGGTCCCTGCATCCAGGGCAGGGACTGAAGAGAAAAGAGTGAAGCCGCCTGACTGGGCCTGATCACCTCCAGGCTGTGAAATTCCAGCTTCTCCAGCCTGGCTGGCCTGCGCAGATGTGGGGGTTCCTGGGATTGCTAGGGCTGCGGCCTCTCTGGCCACGAAATAAATAGCTTTCCCTGGAGACCTTGGCTCCCCAAGTAAGAGGGAGGGCTGAGTAAGGGAAGGGAAGGAAATAGCCCAGATCAGGAGAAAATAAGTGGACCTCACTGCATGTGGCGAAGTAGAGAACTGTTAGGAATGCTCCGTGAAGGCTGAGACGCACACACCACACAAAACCCCATTCCTTACCTATGAAGCCAGGAGGCTGGCCCAGACCCTCACAGGTCCTGTCCACCACCTCTCACCTGCAGGAAGCAAGTGAGGAGGAGGCCGCAGTGCTCTGGGAGCGGGGCGGAAAGGGCTGCTCCGCAGCGGGGTGGGAGTCCTTCGGTCCTCCTTACTGATGGTCCAGCTGGAGCCGTGAGTGTGGCCGCCTCCTTGAGTGCTAACTGAGACCTCTTTTCTCTTGGACCTGCCTAGGACTCTGTTTTGCCATTTGTTAAATGGGGATGTAAAAGCCCTACAGCGGGGCGCAGTGGTTCACACCAGTAATTCCAGCCTCCAGGCTGAGGCTGGAGGATTGCTTGAGCTCAGGAGTTTGAAACCAGCCTGGGCAACATGGCGAGACCCCAACCTCTACAAAAAAAATTTTTTTAGATTAACCGAGTGTGGTGGCATGTGCCTGTGGTCCCAGCTACTTGGGAGGCTGAGGAGGGAGGATTGCTTGAGCCTGGGAGGTTGGGGCTGCAGGGACCCATCATCACAGCACTGCATTCCAGCCTGGGCCACAGAACGAGACCCTACCTCAAAAAGAATAAAATAGAAGGTCCTACAATTGTGAGGATTAAATGAGAACCTTCATTTTTTTTTAACTTTTATTGTAGGTTTGGGGTACATGTGCATATTTGTTATATGGGTAAATTGCATATCGTGGGGGTTGGGTGCACAGACTATCTTGTCACCAAATAATAAGCATAGTACTCAATAGGTAGTTTTCTGATCCTCACCCTCTTCCCTCCCTCCACCCTCCAGTAGAACCTGGTGTCTGTTGTTCCCTTCTTTGTATCCATGTGAAGATGTTTAGCTCCCACTTCTAAGTGAGAACATCCAGTATTTGGTTTTCTGTTCCTTTGTTAGTTCACTTAGGATAATGGTCTTCAGCCCCATCTATGTTGCTGCAAAGGACATGATCTCATTCTTTTTTATGGCTGCATAGTATTCCAGGGTATACGTGTACCATATTTTCTTTATCCAGTCTAAATGAGAACCTCTACAGCAGGAATCAGCAAACCGTGGTCTGTCACGGGGCACAGCCCCACAGGCTACGAATGGATTTTACCCTTCTCAATGGCTTGGTTGGGGGGATGGGAAATGGGCCCTCATGGGACTTGGGGAAAAGTAAATGAAACAATTGTTGTT